>NC_000012.12:117005582-117157097 GCF_000001405.40 Homo sapiens | reverse complement strand
GACTCTCATGCCTCAGCCTCCCAGGTAGCTGGGACTACAGGCGCACACCACCACGCCTGGCTAATTTTTTGTGTTTTAGTAAAGACAGGGTTTCACCATGTTGGCCAGGCACGTCACTAACTCCTGACCTCAAGTGATCTGCCGTCTCAGGCTCCCAAAGTACTAGGATTACAGGCGTGAGCCACCACACCCAGCCCATTTCGTGTATTTTTTTCTATTGAGTTATTAGTCCTCCCTAATATGATATGTAGTTGTTCTTCTGTGTATCAGTATCTACATGACGATAAGTTGCAAATATCTTTTCCCAGTTTTTGGCTGGTGGTTTTCATTCTTTATTGCATTTTTTTAAACTTTTAAATGGAAATTTGCAAAGATTTATAAGAGAGAAAGGACTATAAGGAACCAGGTGGTGTTCCTGTCATCCAGCCTCAACAGCTGCCATACGGGGTGAATCTTACTGTCCCCTGCACCCTCCAGACCTTCCTCCCTGGGTTAATTGACGCAAGTGCCAGATGCCATTTCACCTGTAGCGATTTCAGTATGTACCTCTAAAAGGCAGGGGTGCTCTCTCCTTCTCTGTCTTTTCATATTTAACATCTTATTATCACATCTAGAAAACCCCAGTTCCTTAACTTCATGCAGTATCTAATGAGAGTTCCTATTTCCCCAGTTGTCTCATATTTTTACATGTTTGGATCAGGATTTGTTAGTCTCTTGGTTTTAGTGATGTCAGATTGGTTAGTCTTTTCCTTTACGGCTGTATTTTTAGTGCCTTGTTTTAACAAACCTTCCCTATCTTGAGTCATGAAGATACTTTCTATTTTAGAAGTTCTGCATTTAACACCTGAGTCTTTGCTGTACTGAGAATTGAATTTGGTGTGCTGTTGTCAGGCCAGGTCCCCATACCTTTTTCTTTTGGGTAACCAGTTGTCATCTAATCACTTTTTGTTGAAAAGTTTATTCTTTTCCAGATAAAGTGCTATGTTGATAATAAGAGGTGTTTATAAAAGGGGTTAGGGGTGTCCTGAAAAATGATTCACCGTGGAGTAAAGCAGGTAACTGAGGATGTGAGCTGAGAAGCCACGCGGTTGTCTGGAGGTTGTTGCGGCCGGGTCTGCAGGGACTGACTGCTCCTCCTGTGTTAACTAGGTATGGCTATAACTGTGTGATCTACGGCTGGGACCCCACCTGCATGATGGGACACGAGTGGATCCGGAACATGAACGTCCACAGCCTGCCGCACGGCCACCACCAGCCTTTCTATAACGTGCTGGTGGAGGACGGCTCCTGTCGATACGCAGCCCAAGGTAAGCGGCGGGTTCCGCTTGTGCCAGTGGCCCCGCGGGCGTGTTTTCAGCGCACGTTTGAGCCCTCGGGTAGGTACTGTGGGCGTGGGCCATCGGTTCCTTCAGAGGCGGCCGACGCCCCATGGCCGGCCTCCTTCGGGCCCACAGTCAGCTAAACGTGGCTGGGTCTGCACAGGTGCCGCCCTGGCGAGGGGTCAGTAGTCATACCCGCCCTCCCCCAGGGCCTCCGCTCCCACAGCCCGGACATCTGATTGGCCACTGTCTATGCCAATCAAATTCCTGTAAGTCCTGCCTCCTGGACCCTGCCCTCGGCTCCTCCCAGACTAGAAGGGAACCGGATGAACACCTGGGGGCCCCCTAGTGCTCCCTGGCCTCCCAAGGCTGTGGCTGCCGGCTGACGCCGGAGATGCCCTCGTGTGGCCACCTGTGGGAACTGCAGCCCACTGCGCCGGCCCTGGGAGCACCTGAGAGCCCGCAAGTGTACAGTAAGGTTGGGTAGGCGTCTGGGCCACTGCCGCCCCGGCAGGTGCCAGCCCAGGGCAAGGCTGAGGTGGAGACTGACAGAGCCTGTGGAAGCTGGTAAGAGACAAGAATGCCTTCAGTGTGAGTCTCCCTTCTCTTTGTTCCTGTTGAATTTCACCTCTACTTAATAGGATGAATTCAGTGTATGTCTGTCAAAGCATTCACATTGATTAATTAATAATTCACATTTATTAATAAAAATGAATGTGAATGCTAATGTAGTGCCATTCTGTGACGGACATCATTCTAATGTATATTAACTCCATTTGAGAAACATCATCATCATCATTTTCTAGGTGAGGAAACTGAGGCACAGGGAAGCCATTGAGATTTTAACTTAGAGAACACGATTTGAAGCCAGGCAGCTTGACAGAGCCTCCTCTTCATCCATCATGCTGTACCTGCTCATGTCTGAGTTTTGACCTAACTCAATATTATGTTCTGATAAATCCAATAATCAAAATATGGGATGTATAAAAACCTCAGAACTTTCTGAAAGGCTGGAGATTGCCAGGTGAGGTGTCTCACACCTATAATCCCAGCACTTCGAGAGGGTGAGGCAGGAGGATTGCTTGAGCTCAGGAGTTGGAGACCAGCCTGGGCAACACAGCAAGACCTCATCTCTGCAATTTAAAAATTAACCAGGCAGAGTCATGTGCACCTGTGTTCCCAGCTACAACACAGCAAGACCCCATCTCTACAAAAAAATTTAAAAATTAGCCAGGCAGAGTAGTGTACACCTGTGGTCCCAGCTATTCAGGAAGCTGGGTTGGGAGGATCACTTGAGCCTGGGAAGTGAAGGCTACAGTGTGCTCTGATTGTGTTGCTGCACTCCAGTCTGGGTGACAGAGTGAGACCTCATCTTAAAATAAAAGGCTGGAAAATAATGATTATTGTCAGTTAATCAGAAACTGAAAGGATCCCCTGGAACAGCAGCATCAAGATAAATGTTTGTTGAAACTGCAGGTCGCTTGCCCTGTCTCAGTGTGATGGGGATGGTGTAAGGGGTTTCTGTGCTCCCTGTGGCAGATGGAGGCACCAACGGTAATGTTATTTAACTTTTGAAGCTGTGTCGAATATAAACAATCTCTAAAAATCAACACATGATTTGGACATTATTGACTGATTCACTGGGCCACTGGTGCCAGCACAAGTCACCTGGTAAACGCTTGATAGCCTACAACAAATGGCGTTCACAAGAATAAATGAGCATTTTCTTTTCAACAACACCGTGGGCCAGTGTCTATGGCTTTACCACATGGCATCATTATTCACTGTTTAGGGTTGGTCTTAAGTATTTGGTTTTAGGGGTTGTGATATGTTCACTTCAGAAGTTGATCTCTAATCATATCTAGGTAAACATGCAATGTAAGGTTTAGTCATAAAATTGTCATTACTGAAAAAATTAATATCTGCTTGTTGGTTTTACCATCTGTTAAATTGAGATGGAACTAAATGATGGGTAATGTTAGCAAATTGGCTTCTTGAATTTAAAACGTAGAACTTCAAAGCTGTTCCTACACTATGAGAGTTCCCGTCTTCTGCCGGCGGCTCCATCAGCGCTGTGTCAGCAAGCGCTTCCTGAGGGACTCGGAGTCCTGGGCCAAGGGGCAGATCTCCCCCAGCATGCCTGATACGTGGCTGTCTTCAGGGTCCTCCCTCTCCAGGGGACTCTCCTCTAGGCCTTCATCTCCTTCCCCCTTGGGGTGTCTGTGGATGTGCTGGTGACTCCCAAAGCCGTGTTCTCTGGGCTCTTCTCTGGGCTCCGTGCCCACCTCTGTAACAGCCCCCGGGCATGTGTGCTTGGAGGGCTCTCAGGGGTCTTCTCTCCAACATTGTTACCCCGACTCACTGAACCCATTGTTTTAACTCGATTATCTCTGTAAAGAAAGAAAAAACATGAACTCATTGTGCCCCCATACCCCCCTTGCTCCTGCCTGCCCCATCTCACTAGTGACACCACGTGGGGGCCGTGTCTTGCTCTTCTCCCCTTGCCCTCGCGATACATCTGTCTACACACCCACTGCTGTCTCCTCATGTGTCTCCCATTTCCATTCTGGTGGTCTCTGCTTGCCTACTTCCTAACTGGCACCTGCCTCCCGGCCTGTCCCCAACCGGGCATTTTCCTTAGCAACAGCAAGAGGATCTTCCTAGCGTGTCCCTGGACCGGGCCACTTGCTGCTTGAATTGACTGACCATCAGGAGTTTCTCATCGGCAGGCAGTGCAGAATGCTTTACCAGGCCCTAGGGATCTGGCCTTCCCCTTACAGCCCCAGCACGGTTCCCACGCCTGACATACTCCAGCCCACTTCCGTTCATCTTCTTTGAAGTCATCATTCTTGCTCGCACGTGGAACAGTTAAAAGAATACATCAAATACCCCCATTTACCCTCTAGTCAATTCAACAGTAAATGATTCCCATATTTGCTTTATCTATAGAGATTTTACTGTTTTCCTGCACCATTTGAAAGAATATTGCAGACATGACCTAATTATGTCTGAGTATAAGGAGATTCCTCTGCATAACCAAATTACATTATCACACCTAGTAACAATTATTTTATAATATCTAATAGTTTTCAAATTTCTCAATTGTCACAAAATAACTTTATGCCTATTTTTGGCTTGTTTCTTAAAATCAGTATCCAACCAGAATTCATTCACTGCATTTGGTTGTTTTTTTTCTCTTTAGTCTCTCTTATTAAAGACAGTTCCTCATTCTTCATTTTTTTTCCCCCCTTTTTCATATGACTTTGACTTTTTGAAGAATCCAGACTGGTTGTCTTGTAAATTTTTTTTTTTTTTTGAGACAGGGTGCTCTGTCACCCAGGCTGGAGTGCAGTGGTACAAACATGAGTCACTGCAGCCTCAACCTCCTGGGCTCAATTGATCCTCCTATCTCAGCCTCCCAAGTAGCTGGGACTGCAGGCATGCACCACCACACCTGGCTATTTTTTGTGTTTTTGTAGAAATGGGGTTTCACCATGTAGCCCAGGCTGGTCTCGAAGTCCTGGACTCAAGCATTCTGCCCGCTTCAGCCTCTCAAAGTGTTGAGATCACAGGTGTGAGCCACCGTGCCTGGCCATTGTCTTGTAAATTGTATAACATTTTGGATTTGCCTCATTGGTTCCTTAACTGTATGATGTCTGCCAGCTGGGAGTGAAGTCTGAGTCCTGATTAGATCGGGATAAGAATTCTTGGGGAGGATACTTCACATCCCTCGCCCCGTGCTTCCCACTGGGTCTCATCAGGGGCCCCCTGTGAGTGATACTGAGTTTGGTCACTTGGCTAAGATAGTGACTCACTATTTCAATTAAGAAATCCACGTGGTCACTCTGTAGCATCCTGTAAAGATCCTGTTCCCCAGTGACCTTGAACATCATGGTTTTAGCACTTTTTGAATATCCTTGCCTAAATCTTTGTATGAGAATTGCCGAGTGGTGATTTTTCCACCACTGTTATTCTCTCTACTTCAATGAACAAGAGCCGCCTTCTTCCTCCCTGCCTCTCCCTTCCCCCTCCCTCTCTCCTCCCCTGCCCTTGTCTCTGCCATAGATTCCTGGATTTTTATTTATTCAATGTGTTATAATCACGTGGGACAATTTTATGCTCACATTTGCCCATTTTTAGCCAGTGAGAGGCCAAATTTTAAAAACACATATTAAATATTTTTTGAACATTTCTGGGTTAATGTGTTTTTATGAAATGTATTTTTTAAACACTTTTCTTGATCTAAATTTCCAGCCTTTGGCTCCAATGATCCTATTAGCCCAGGTAGAACCCATTCATAATGCTTTTCTAATTACTAGCTCTGCACGGAGAGTTGAAGAGTGAATTAGAAATCACATACATATATGACATCTTCAAATAGTTTTAGTTTGTACAATGAAGAGAATTCTTTCCCCGGTGTGTACTCTCTCACCTAAACCCTAATGGGATGTCCGGCATCTTGCATGTGTGTAATGTTGTGTTCCCACAAGGGGGCGCGCTTTGATACTTTCATGGCCCTGGGTGGGAGAGTGCCGCTCCTGTCCCGCCTCCTTCTGGACTTCTCGGAAGCTCCGAGTCTAGGTCAGCCGCCGTATTGAAAGGCCAGGAATTCAACTACCATGTGAAAATCTCGTTCTTAAGTTTTGTCTGTAATGGTAAAGCACCTGTACAATGCTTGGCACATGGCATGTCCTCGACAAACGTTGGTTCCCTTTTCCATAACTTATTTGATGCTTCCAAACTCAACTTTCCACCCATACAGTCCTCCCCGCCCGACACACACACACACACACACACACACACACACACACACACACACACAAACTTATTTGATACTTCCAAACTCAACTTTCCACCCATACAGTCCTCCCGCCTGACACACACACACACACACACACACACACACAGTCCATGGCCAGCTGTACCTGCTGGCAAGTGTGGTGAGGTGAATGGGGATCCCCTGCATGGGGGTGGGGTTGAGTGTTAAGTGGCACAAACATGTCAGAGGATGCTTTGGCTTTCGCTTTCAAATTGTAAAAATCTCAAGCACACATTCTCTTCCAGCCTAGCAGTTCCACCTCGATCCCTCCACACGTGTACAAGGAGGTCTTTGGCCCCTTTGTTAAAATAGCAAGACAATTGTCATTCACAAGGAGTCTTCTAGTAGCCTGGGGTCTATGCAGACTGGAATGAATACTAAGCTGCAATTGAATAAGCCAGTTGCGGGTGAGTGGTTAGAATACGTTTTGTTTAAGTACACACACATAAAGCAGTACTAAATTTTAAGTATACTTAGGGTATCTAGCTGCCTATGTGTGTGCTCACAGGAGGACTGCAGCGACACACTGGCACCGATGGTGCTTTTCTCTTGGAGAGGAAGACCGGATCAGGACAGGACAGGTGCCCACACAGGACTCATGGGTAGTGTTTCCATAGTATTTATTCATATATTTTGGGGTAGCTGAACGTTAAAATAAGCAGACAGATTTCTCTGAAAACTTGAAGAGAATCCAGGAAGATTTCTCAGGATTTTTCAGAACTTTTAAGTGGTGCCTGGTTCATGTTTTACTCAATTAAGTTTTGTGTTACTTAGATTTATCATTTTTCTTACAAGTAAACTTTGGGAAAATCTTCTTAGTGGATTGGCATTTATTTTTCTTTCATAATACATAGTTGCCAACTTCATTATGTTGTTAATTTTTTCCTGTTCTGCTTCTTAGCAAGCTAGGAGCTCAGGCCAGTAAATGCACCAAATCCAGTCCTTGCTCCTCTCTAACAGCCAGGAGTGGGGCTGGGAGCACCCTCGAGGACTGTCATTTACTTCTTGCCTGGTTTCCCACCGTTCCTGCCTGGACTTCTCATGCATCTTGTTCTGGGCCCATGTTCAGAATTCTGTGTAGTAGCTGTTGGGTCCTGTTGCCCTGGCACATCTGTGTTTGATAACCTGAGTTTCCGCTTCTTTCCTCCTCCCAACAGAAGCCGAATGTTACCAACACCAGGCTGTCCCTCGATAATACATAGAAAGGAAAAAGTGGAGGAGAAGGGAACAATGCTGAAACACAGGGCTGGGTCTCTGGAGCAGGGCTTGTCAGCCCAGCACTAGTCACATGTTGGTCAAGATAACCGTTTGTGGGGGGCCGTCCTGTGCGTTGTAGGGTACTTAGCAGCACCCCTGGCCTCCACCCACTGCAAGCTGGCAGCAGCTCTCAGTTACAACCAAACATGTCTGCAGGCCTTACCAGATGTCCCTTTAGTAGCAAAAGAGCCCCCAGATGAGAACTGCTCCAGACGAACTGGCAACAAAGCAGTTATTCTAAACTACCTGCTTGAATTCTGTGTACTTCAGATACCTATGTCCTGTTTACCAATGACAGGTAACAGTGGTTCCCTTAGAGCAAAGGGGATTTTTGTCTCGATGGTATTCCCAGCTTCTTTACCCTCTACTATTTCTGTGCAGCTCTGCAAGAAAATCCAAACATGGCCAGGCGTGGTGGCTCACACTTGTAATCCCAACACTTTGGGAGGCCAAGACAGGAGGATCATTTGAGCCCAGGAGTTTGAAAACAACCTGGGCAACGTAGCAAGACCCTGTCTCTACAAAAAAGAAAAGAAAATCCAAAGGCCAGGGCCCTGGCAGGTGGCCTGGTTAAGATACCAGGTTGTGGTCATGTCCCCGTAAGCCTCCTCAAGGAAAATATGCTTTGCTAGTTGGTTCCTCCTGTTACTGGATGTGAAGAGGGAGGTGGCAGCAGTGGGTGGACAGGAAAGGGCATCTTAGCCAGTGGCATTTTGAAACATTTGCAGCATTTTGTTTTTTAACATTTATTGATTTTTCCCAAGAGAAAATCATCTCTAGAGACCTGACAACAGTAGAGAGATCAGAGTTAGTGGATGACTCAGTTTCCTTCGGGGAAAAGTGGGAGGTCCTGAAACCACAGGCTCCTGTGTGTTAATGTGGGCTGGAGCGTCCCTTTGGGGGCAGCGGTGTTCTCTGAGTCTACCCAGCCCCTCCCCGCCTGCTGTCTCCTGACTGTTGGATTTTTCTTACTTCTGGTTCCCTTCAGCCCTGGAATGGGACTGTCTGGTTTGAGTCCGGGGTTAAATCCTTGGGCAGCCCACGCAACAGCAGAAGGGGGCTCCTTCCAGGGTTACGTGGCAGGGGTGCCTGTGACACCGCTGTGGGGTCTGGCACGTTGTAAGTGCCCAGTTTAAACTCTGTGCCACTGTGCCACGTCATGGAGCAACCCCTGATCCATGGCCTTCCAGGCCCTTTCTAAGTGGTACAACCTTTCTACCCCCACCTTTCTTGGAGGATCTTACAAACAGGTTGCTCATTTTCATGGCCGCCTCCTGCTTTGCTGAATTAATGTGCCATCATTTATTCACACAGTGACCTACACTTGGACGTTTACACTGCTCTTCCAGTTTTCCTAGCATAAGTACTGTTAAGGTAAACAGCCTCCATACATTTATCTCTGCACATGACGTGTCTGTGACTTCCTCAGCGGTACTGATTTGTTCAGGCAGTTCTGTCCCTGGTCACAGTCTGCCGAAACAGCCTAAAACAACATATTCTCACATTTCTTCAGCTCCTCCTGTTTTATGTTTAAAAAGAACCCTGCAGATTGAGTCCTACAACTCCTTCCCCCTCTCCCCAAAGACTACCAGTTAAAGTCAGTGCTTCAGAAAGATGCCTGCGTTCATCCTGTGTACTTCGGGGATGCAGGGCCTCTGATGCCCTGACTTTGTGTTTCAGGATGTTTAACCCAGCTGTTTAAGAAATAATAGGCCACGCTGTTCGTGTCGGTGAGCCCATCGTTGGCCTTACTGGTATTAATTCATAGACCCATTTGCGTTCATTCGAGTGATGGGCAGTGCCAAGGATGGCTTCAGAGTGATCGGAACTGGGGTGCCCTGGGGACACAGTCACAATAGGAGGATCTGCCCAGCCCAGCTTCCTTCCGGTGTCAGGTCATGGAGGGCATAGCTGGGCTTCTCCTGCATCAGGGGCCACACCCAGTCTTAGGCCAGGCCTCCGTGGGCGGCAAAGAAGGGCGCACAAAGCACCGTCCTTTAACTGGCCCTGTGGAGGAGCCTTGTTCCAGGTGTTCTGGGGAAGTGGGAAACCAAGCCTTTTAAATACCTTGCCTGTATTATCTCTTTTTTTTTTTTTTTTTTTTTGAGATGGAGTCTTGCTCTGCTGCCCAGGCTGGAGTGCAGTGGTGTGATCTTGGCTCACTGCAACCTCCGCCTCCCAGGTTCAAGCAGTTCTCTGCCTCAGCCTCCCAAGTAACTGGGATTACAGACGCCCGCCATGACGCCCAGCTAATTTTTGTATTTTCAGTAGAGATGGAGTTTTACCATCTTGGCCAGGCTGGTCTTAAACTCCTGACCTCATGACCCCCTACCTCATCCTCCCAAAGTGCTGGGATTACAGGCATGAGCCACTGCACCTGGCCCTTTTTTTTTTCTTTTTTTTTTTTTTTTTCCATTTTTTCAGTCTTATTTTCTATTTCTTTCTTTCTTTCTTTTTTTTGAGATGGACTTTTGCTCTTGTTGTCCAGGCTGGAGTGCAATGGCATAATCTCAGCTCACTGCAACCTCCTCCTCCCAGGTTCAAGCGATTTTCCTGTCTCAGCCTCCTGAGTAGCTGAGACTACAGGAGTGCACCACCATGCCTGGCTAGTTTTTGTATTTTTAGTAGAGACGGGTTTCACCATGTTAGTCAGGCTGGTCTTGAACTCTTGACCTCAGGTGATTCTCCCGCCTCAGCCTCCCAAAGTGCTGGGATTACAGGTATAAGCCACTGCTCCCAGCCTTATTTTCTATTTCTCTAGTGGCAAAATAGAGAACAGAGAGAAGAGGTAGCATGGTTTTCCCAAGAGATGGTACAGATAATAACATCTGATATCCACATGGGGTCTGGAGGTGCAAGCCACCTTCCTTTCATCCCACGGTCTCACAGCAGCCCTGGAAAGAGGCTGCTCTCTGTTGGAAGCTAAGGGCCAGTGTTGGAAGGAGCTCGGGTGGAAAGTGTGGTCTGCATGAGGGGCTCCTGTGAATAGAGGAGAGGGGTGGCAGGTACGAGACTTGTCACCATGTGACATGGCAGCTTCAGAAACTTAGCCACTGCCAAAAAAAGAGCAGGCAGGGATAATGTTGTCCCATTGTCCAGTCAGAGAGACCTGTTGAGTCTCTAGTTTGCCAGTCCCCAAGAGACCTTTGGAGTTTTGCTGGAGCCAGACATCCTGCTTAGAGATGAGGAAGATCCTGCTGTTCCGTGGGGAGCTCTTGAGACACCCGTGCCACCACCCACCTTCTCCTGATTGCCACTTGCTGCCCTTTTCCCATTACCCTCTCCTGACTCCATAAACATCTTCAGTCTTCCCTTCTCCACCCCAAAAATGCCACCTGGAAGGGGTGATGGGAGGTTCTCTGGATGAAAGGTGTGGCAGCAATGGACATTGTAATGAGAATGCCCGTGTGCCTCTTTACCAACAGAAAACTTGGAATATAACGTGGAGCCTCAAGAAATCTCACACCCTGACGTGGGACGCTATTTCTCAGAGTTTACTGGCACTCACTACATCCCAAACGCAGAGCTGGAGATCCGGTATCCAGAAGATCTGGAGTTTGTCTATGAAACGGTGCAGAATATTTACAGTGCAAAGAAAGAGAACATAGATGAGTAAAGTCTAGAGAGGACATTGCACCTTTGCTGCTGCTGCTATCTTCCAAGAGAACGGGACTCCGGAAGAAGACGTCTCCACGGAGCCCTCGGGACCTGCTGCACCAGGAAAGCCACTCCACCAGTAGTGCTGGTTGCCTCCTACTAAGTTTAAATACCGTGTGCTCTTCCCCAGCTGCAAAGACAATGTTGCTCTCCGCCTACACTAGTGAATTAATCTGAAAGGCACTGTGTCAGTGGCATGGCTTGTATGCTTGTCCTGTGGTGACAGTTTGTGACATTCTGTCTTCATGAGGTCTCACAGTCGACGCTCCTGTAATCATTCTTTGTATTCACTCCATTCCCCTGTCTGTCTGCATTTGTCTCAGAACATTTCCTTGGCTGGACAGATGGGGTTATGCATTTGCAATAATTTCCTTCTGATTTCTCTGTGGAACGTGTTCGGTCCCGAGTGAGGACTGTGTGTCTTTTTACCCTGAAGTTAGTTGCATATTCAGAGGTAAAGTTGTGTGCTATCTTGGCAGCATCTTAGAGATGGAGACATTAACAAGCTAATGGTAATTAGAATCATTTGAATTTATTTTTTTCTAATATGTGAAACACAGATTTCAAGTGTTTTATCTTTTTTTTTTAAATTTAAATGGGAATATAACACAGTTTTCCCTTCCATATTCCTCTCTTGAGTTTATGCACATCTCTATAAATCATTAGTTTTCTATTTTATTACATAAAATTCTTTTAGAAAATGCAAATAGTGAACTTTGTGAATGGATTTTTCCATACTCATCTACAATTCCTCCATTTTAAATGACTACTTTTATTTTTTAATTTAAAAAATCTACTTCAGTATCATGAGTAGGTCTTACATCAGTGATGGGTTCTTTTTGTAGTGAGACATACAAATCTGATGTTAATGTTTGCTCTTAGAAGTCATACTCCATGGTCTTCAAAGACCAAAAAATGAGGTTTTGCTTTTGTAATCAGGAAAAAAAAAAATTAATGAACCTTAAAAAAAAAAAAAAAGGTTTTGAAGGGAAAAAAAGTGGTTTCACACCTCTTGTTATTCCTTAGAGTCACTTCAAGGCCTGTTTGAATGTGGCAGGTTAGAAAGAGAGAGAATGTCTTTCATTTGAAGAGTGTTGGACTTGTGTGAAAGGAGATGTGCGTGTTGGAATCTGCTTTTCCAAGCCGCCAGGGTCCTGACGGCAGCAGGACGAAGCCTGTTGTGGCGTCTTCTGGGAAAGCCTGACCGTGTGTTCGGACGGCACTGGCTCCTTTCCGAAGTTCTCAGTAACTGAGCCCAGAGTAACTGCACGCCTTTGTGCAGCTCTGGAGCTCCACCAACTCTCGGCCTGCCAGTTCTCAAGCGAGCTAATCTTGTCATTAATCGATAGAAGCTAACTTCCGAAGTTAGGACCTAGTTACTTTGCTCTCAACATTTAAAATAATGCAGTTGCTCTAGTGAATGGGGCGTTAGGGGCCTGTCTCTGCACCTGTCTGTCCATCTGCATGCAGTATTCTCACCCATGTTGAATGCCTGCTGCTTGTTTACCCTTTGGAAACCCTGGGGTGACCAAGGTTTGGAAAGCCACCTGAGACCACTTCATAGCAAGGGAAGGCTTTAAGCAGTTACTAGAAAGAGATGGGGATTTGGCCCCTGGCTCCTCCAGCCTGAATGAGCTATTTAATCCACTGTCCATGTTCCTCATCAGTCAAATCCAAAGTCAAAGGATTTGAACCTGCATCTGGAAACGTAACCACTCACAGCACCTGGCCCGCCAAGGTTGGGAGGATTGTACACTACTTTCATTTAAAGGGGAAAGTTTGATAATACGGAATTAATTAATATGAATGAGATGCATTAATAAGAACCTGAGCATGCTGAGAGTTGCAATTGTTGGTTTTCTGGTTTGATTGATTTCCTTTTTTCTTAGACACATCAAAGTCAAGAAAGATGGTTTTACCTTTACTGACCCAGCTGTACATATGTATCTAGACTGTTTTTAAATGTCTTTCTTCATGAATGCTTCATGGGGCTCCAGGAAGCCTGTATCACCTGTGTAAGTTGGTATTTGGGCACTTTATATTTTTCTAAAAACGTGTTTTGGATCCTGTACTCTAATAAATCATAAGTTTCTTTTTAAAAATTTTCCAAAACTTTTCTCCATTTTAAAAAGCCCTGTTATAAACGTTGAACTTTCACAATGTTAAAATGTTAAATATTTGGATATAGCAACTTCTTTTCTCTTCAAATGAATGCCAAGATTTTTTTGTACAATGATTAATAAATGGAACTTATCCAGAGAAACCACGCAAATGGCCTGCCCAATTTCGTTTGAGGACAGAAAGCCCAGCCATGACTTGAGTAGAATGTCTCTCACCTCTCTTCGGATCTAAATATGAAAAGTATGTTCTGCTGAATTTTTCTGAGCATTGGTGAGCGGACAGCCTACCTGTAAACCATGACCTCCTTGCCAAACGTTAATTTTATCAGCTCACTAGTAACCTTTGAGAATTATCTGGTTGTCATGCAAAGATTGCACTTTCTGAATTATGTTAAAACACATGTTGTAAAATGAGAACTGCTCATGCTTTGAAAGAAAACCAGGTTCTTCGTGCGTTCTGTTGCCGTTGATTTGAATGGCTGTGCTGTATACGATGTGTCCAGAATGTCTTCAGAGCACTGTTTCCGTGTGATGTTACTACCTACTATGTGGGAGGAAAAAAGGTTATAGGTTAAACAAAGTCAATTGACTCTATGGTGGTGTTTCTCAATACCTGTGACGCACAGTACTGTGCGTCGTGACTTTCTAAGAGAAGTGTGCAGCGGGTGTGTCATCTTGATATATGAAACCCTGGAATTTCCCTCCCCTACACGCACGCACCGTCCCCGGGGGTCCGGTGTTTGCAGACATGCTTTGAAAAGCTGTCTCAGTGAGACATCAGTTATGTCCAAAATGAGTTTACCTTAGAATCAGACCGGTTTTGCCAGGCGTCATGTTTGCAAACATTATCCACCTAATCAGATTTTGAAAGGCCGGCTTTCATGTCGCCTGCCTGAGACTCATAACAGATCCCCATTATAAGCGCGTTTACACAGCAAAATGATTTTATTGAGAAAACCAGCATTAAGTACTGTTGCCGGCTCAGTTTTCCATTGCATACTATCTACTTAAAGTCCCGTTCTCATTTGTAAGTGTTCCGATCTTTCCCCACGGAGAAAACTGAGCAGAGCTGCCGTGTCGCAGGCTTTCTGCTGCTGATGTCGCATCTCTTTGCTTTCCCCTCCTTAGTCCATACTCCAAGTAAGTGAACTCAGACTACCAGCAACTTTTTAACTGAAAAGTATCTGTCCATGATGATCAAGATGCAGCTCTTCGTGTTTTTATTTTGTCTTTTTTTTTTTTTTTTTTTTTTGGAGGGAAGGAGAGACATCAACTGGACAAAATGCAAAATTTGGATGTGGGACAATTGCTTTTTGGAGACGTGAATAGCTGTACTGTACGTATTATTTTGTGTGGCATGCTAACTTTGAGCCGGGCACTGGCCTAATAAAGTCTTTGTAATCCTCCCAGCAATCCTATAAAGCAGACGCAGATAGTAAAGATTTTAGGCTTTGCAGGCCACGTACAGACTGTCACATGTTCTCTGTTTTTAAAAGTGTCAACAACATTCTTAGCTCAAAAACAGGCTGCAGGTGGGATGGTGCCCACAGGCCATAGTTGGCTGACCCCGGCTAGGGTGTAGGCACTTAGCATTCCACTGTATAAAGGGGAAACCCAGGTCATACTGCGTGTGCGTGGGTGGGAAGCCGGATGTGGAATACAGGTGGTCCCTGAGTCTCCAGGAACCACTGAGCTCCAGCTGTTCACACCCACACTCTGCGGCGCAAGCAACTACCTCGCCACGGTTTAGCCTTGGTCTAGCAGCGACTTTAACCTTGAATGTTGCATTTCTGAAAAATTTAGAATCTTGAAAGTAAAGGACGTCCCTCCGGTGAATAAAATTAGGCGCAATTATAGAATACATGTATTATGGCCACGTAGCAATGACTGTATTAGGGCTCTGCTAGTTCTGTAATAAATAGACCCGAAAAGCAACAATGGCTCAAACACCATAGAACGTTTTTGCTTCCATAATATTGGGCAGGGGAATGGGCTGGCAGGGCAGCCCTTATGCAGGCAGGCATCAGAGCAACCTGAGCCGTCCATCTCCATCCCGCCTGAAGTAGCGGGGAGCATGGAGGGCTGAGACCATCTGGGAGCTTCCATGAGCCAGGTGTGGAAGTGGCACCCCTTATGTCCACTCATTTTGCACGGAGGTGGGAAACGTCCAGTTGTGTTCTAGGAAAGGAGACAGAACACAGTGTGGGTGGAAGCTCTGGTCCACTGCACGGGCCACTCCAGTGTGCTCCTCCACCGCAGGAGACAGCCACGGACAGCTAAGCCAGGCTGTCCGTGGGGACGGACACATTTCTGCAGTCTCCGGCTCAGTCGCCCCTGCCTAAGTAGCACATAGAGGCAGTGGAGTTCCCTTCAGATGGCACTGTCTGTGTACACTCACGGTCTCCACCGCAGATGGCTGCAGCAGCGGGGAGCAGACCTCTCACCGCGTGGGTCACATGCACTACCTCTGCCTCAACAGCCAGATCTCAAGTGGCCGGCCACACCTTCGTTCCAGAGGAGGTGCCAAATGGTTTCCTGTGGGCCCGAAAGGAAGAGAAAAGGTTTGGTGGGCACAGACTTGTGTGTGCCTCACCCCCAGAGCCCTCCGCGGTCCCTGCATCCTACTCAGCCCAGTTTCCCTGGGCCGTGCAAGTTCCCTCCATCAGCCCAGCGTGGCGCCTCCGGGATCCCCCACCCCCAATTCCCATTAAGAGGTGAAGCAGGGACGGCAGCTGCAATAAGAACTCCCATTTGAGAAAAAGAAAGAATGAAACAAGTTGCTGGTCTCTAGCAGGGATGAAATCCCACTCGCGGGGGACCTTGGTAAGACCCCTGCCTTTGTCATGGCCGGGGGTGACGTTTCTTGCATAAGCCCTGACTCTGCTCTCCGGGAGGAACTCCCTGCCCTCTGGGAAGTTCTTCCTCAAATCTCATCCTCTCTGGTCTCCTCAGAAGTGGGTGTCGGGTGCATCCTGCCGGGGTGCTGGCCAACTTTCACACTCCACTTCCTGCTGGGTGCAGCTTTAGGGGCCTGTCCAAGACTTTTATTTACTTATTTGTACAACAAGCTTGCAATTCCTCTGGCAATGATTCCCTCTAAAGCTTAGCAAGCCATTAACCTATTGGTGCCAGCAATCGTAGCCAGCTTTATCACCTCTTGGCTCTCTCTTCCCCCTGACTTAACGTGGCTTAATGTGGCTGCCTTCATCTGATATTAACCAAAGGTGAGGCTCACTGCTTAAGTGAAAAATTTTTATTGTTATTTTTTGAGGCAGAATTTCGCTCTTCTTGCCCAGGCTGGAGTGTAGTGGCGCAATCTCAGCCCACTGCAACCTCTGTCTCCTGGGTTCAAGCGATTCTCCTGCCTCAGCCACCCAAGGAGCTGGGATACAGGCACGTGCCACCACCCTCAGCTAATTTTGTATTTTTAGTGGAGATGGGGTTTCACCATGTCAATCATCAGGCTGGTCTCAATCTCCTGACCTCAGGTGATCCACCTGCCTCGCCTTCCCAAAGTGCTGATTACAGGCATTTAACGGGTCTTTGTTGTTCGGTGATTTTCTTTGAGATGGAGTCTCGATCTGTCACCCAGGCTGGAGAGCAGCGGCACGACCTTGTACTCCTGGGTTTGATCAATTCTCCTGCCTCAGCCTCCCGAATAGCTGGGAATGCAGGTGTGTGCCACCACGCCCAGCTAATTTTTGTGTTTTTAGTAGAGATGAGGTTTCAGCATATTGGCCAGGATGGGTCTCGATCTCATGACCTTGTGATCCACCCACCACAGCCTCCCAAAGTGCTAGGATTACAGGTGTGAGCCACGCACCTGGCTTTTTTTTTTTTTTTTTTTTTTTTTTTTTAAGACGGAGTCTTGCTCTGTCGCCCAGGCTGGAGTGCAGTGACGTGATCTCGGTTCACTACAACCTCCGCCTCCTGGCTTCAAGTGATTCTTGTGCCTCAGCCTCCTGAGTGGCTGGGATTACAGGTATGCACCACCACTCCCAGCTAATTTTTGTATATTTAGTAGAGACGGGGTTTTGCCATGTTGGCCAGGCTGGTCTCAAACTCCTGGCCTCAAGTGATTCACCTGCTTCGGCCTCCCAAAATGCCGGGATTACAGGCGTGAGCTACCGGCGCAGCCGATTTTCATTCTCCTTTCCTGTTGGTGTGTAGAAGCAGTGGCCTTTTCCACACAGGACACCTGGGATTTCAGTCTCTTTTCCATTTTAGTTCTCAAACCAGCACATATTTACTTCACTCCTGTTTTTCTTGTCTTCCCTGGTGATAAACAACAAAGAGCCATCTACACACTGTATTCCTTGTCTCTTTTGGCTACTTTCTCTAGACTGGCCGCAGGGCCAGTGGTTCCACCTTGCAAACCGAAAGCAACAATTCTACCAAGTCTGACCCCGAAACAGAGCTCTCCAGCCTTCCGGCCTCCCCAGGAGGTGTTTCCTTGCCACTTGACTGCTAGGCTAACACCATAGAGTTTAGGGTTTTTATACAGTGGTGCCCCTCTCAATGGTTTTGTTTATTATTATTATTATTATCATTAAGTTTAAAGTGGGCTAATATTTCCATAGGAAGTTCTATTTCCTATTTGGCTGTGCAATTAAGAAAAAAAAACTGAGAACAATGATTCAAGTCTTTGAGAGTGGGAAGAGCTACACGTCATTTAGTAAATGCAGGGAAGGAAGTTGCATAGAATACAGAAAGGAGAAATTTTGGGAGAATGAACTAGGTAGTCTCATTATAGAATCCTTGCATGGTTAGAATTTCCAGCTGGGCACAGTGGCTTGTATAATCCCAACACTTTGGGAGGCCAAGGTGGGAGGATCACTTGAGGCTAGGAGTTTGAGATCAGCCTGAGCAATATAGCAAGACCCCCATCTCTACAAAAAATTTAGAAATTAGCCAGGCGTGATAGCTTGCGCCTATAGTCCCAGCTACCCAGGAGGCTGAGGCAGGAAGATTGTTTGAGGTCGAGGCTGCAGTGAGCTGTGATGGCGCCACTGCACTCCAGCCTGGGTGACGGAGCAAGACTATCTCAAAAGAGAAAAAAGAAAAAGAGAAAAAAAGAATTTCCACCTACTTTTTTTTTTTTTTTTTTTTTTGAGACAGAGTCTCACTCTACCACCCAGGCTGGAATGCAGTGGCACAATCTTGGCTCACTGCAGCCTCCGCCTCCTGGGCTCTTGTGTCTCAGCCTCCCGAGTAGCTGGGGCTACAGGCGTGTGGCGCCACACCCGACTAATTTTTGTATTTTTAGTAGAGATGCTGTTTCATCATGTTGCCCAGGCTGGTCTCGAACTCCTGACCCCAAGTGATCTGCCTGCCTCGGCCTCCCAAAGTGCTGGGATTACAGGCATGAGCCACCGCGCCCGGCTCTCCACCTACTTTTTAAATGAAAGAATTCTTATAGAAATGTTCATATTCAAGTTATTGAATTTGGGAGAAATTCATACTTTGAATGAAAGTTATGGTTTTCCTATTTCTAAACTATTATAATCTCTCAATCCTAGAATTCTTTAATAATCTACCAGTTTTTGTAGGACGATTTTCTTAGTTGTGTCTGTTACTGTGCAGAGGGCTCTGTGCCCAATATCTGTGCTGTCCTCCACCCCAAGGTTTCTCAACCTTTTTTCCAGTATTACCTGCTCCAGGAGCCTTTTTAGGCTATTTTTTTCCTAATCCACCCCCCGCCCCCCGAAATTGTTCTGACTTTTTTTTACAGAGATGACATTGATCTAATATGAAATTAACCATATCACTGGTATTTACTTCATGTACAATGTTGTCAGCCTCCACCTCTAGTTCCAAAAACATTTTCATCACCCTAAAATAAAACCCCCATGCCCATTAGGCAGTCACTCCCCATTCTTCCCTCCCCCAGCCCGTGGCACCCACCAGTCTGCTTTCTGTCTCTGGATTTGCCTGTTCTGTGCATTTCATGTACATGGAATCACACACGAGGTGGCCTTCTGTGCCTGGTTTCTTTCACTCAGCATCACGCTTTCAAGGTTCATCCTCTTTGTAGCATGTATTGGCACTTCATTCCTTTTAATGGCTAAATATGTATGGATACACCACATTGTTTTGTTTTTGTTCTTTTTATTTATTTAGTTATTTATTTTGGAGACAGAGCCTTGCTCTGTCGCCCAGACTGGAGTGCAGTGGTGCGATCTCGGCTCACTGCAACCACCGCCTCCTGGGCTCAGGCGATTCTTCTGCCTCAGCCTCCCCAGTAGCGGGGACTACAGTCACGCACCACCACGCTGGCTAATTTTTTGAATTTTTAGTAGAGACTGGGTTTCACTATGTTGCCCAGGGTGATCTAGAACTCCTGAGCTCAGGTGATCTGCCCGCCTTGGCCTCCCAAAGTGCTGGGATTACAGGTGTGAGCCACCACACCCGGTCTATTTTATTTTTTTTTTTTGAAATAAAAATTGTGGCCCAGGCTGGAGTGCAGTGGCACATGACTGCAGCCTCTGCCTCACTGCAACTTCCACCTCCCGGGCTCAGGTGATCTCCCACGTCAGCCTCCCGAGTAGCTGGGACCACTGGTGTGCACCACCATGCCCAGCTAATTTTGTTTTGGTTTTTTATTTGTTTGTTTGTTTGCTTGTTTTGTAGAGATGGGGTTTCTTTATGTTGCCCGGGCTGATCTGGAACTCCTGGGCCCAAGCAATCTGCCTGCCTCAGCCCACATTTTGTTTATCTATTAAGTTACTGATGGACATTAGAGCTATTTCCACTTTTTAACTATTGTGAATAGTGCTGCTGTGAGCCCTCCATGAAATGATTTTTTTAAATTTTTAATTTAATTTTATTATTTTTTTCAGATGGATTCTTGCTCTGTCGCCCAGGCTGGAGTGCCATGGCACAATCTTGGCTCACTGCAGCCTCCGTTTTCTGGGTTCATTTGATTCTCTTACCTCAGACTCCTGAGTAGCTGGGATTACAGGTGTGCACCACCATGCCTAACTAATTTTTCTTTTCCTTTTTTTTTTTTTTTTTTTGAGATGGAGTCTTGCTCTGTTGCCCAGGCTGGAGTGCAGTGGCACGATCTTGGCTCATTGCAACCTCCGCCTCCTGGGTTCAAGCGATTCTCCTGTCTCAGCTTCCTGAGTAGCTAGGATTACAGGCACACACCACTACACCTGGCTAATTTTTGTATTTGTAGTAGAGACAGGGTTTCGCCATGTTGGCCAGGCTGGTCTCGAACTCCTGACCTCGGGTGATCCACCCAACTCAGCCTCCCAAAGTGTGCTAGGTTACAGGCATGAGCCACTGCGCCTGGCCTAATTTTTCTACTTTTAGTAAAGACGGGGTTTCGCTATGTTGGCCAGGCTGGTCTCGAACTCCTGATCTCAAGTGATCTGCCCACCTCGGCCTCCCAAAGTGCTGGGATTACAGGCTTGAGCTACTGTGCACAGCTCCATGAAATGTTAATGCCAAAGATAAACTACAACTGCTTATGTACTATATATGTGTATATATATATATATATATATATATATATATATATATATATATATATATATGCTTTATACATTAAAAGCATAAATACACATACTTTTTTTCACTCCCCCTTGGGGGCGATATTACCCCTTTGAAAACGCAAGCTCCACCTGAGCAGTAGTATTGGGAACAGCTGCTCTCTGTTCTTGCTCACTGGTTGACCATTGGTATCTTATCTTTCAGTGCCTTTTAATGTACCCACCTTTCTTGGTGCCAGGAGCTGTAGTAAATGCAGAAGTACATTTCTGTCACTTATAAGGGCTAAAATGTATGTTCCAAAGACTTTTTTTGATATGTAATCTTTGCTTATTATATTGACTTGACCCACCCCAGATCTCCTAAAATCTGTTACTAAAAATAAGGTCAGGTATGGTTGCTCACGCCTGTAATCTCAGCAGTTTGGGAGGCGGAAGCGGGCAGATCGCCTGAGGTCAGGAGTTCGAGACCAGCCTGGCCAACATGGTGAAACCCCGTCTCTAGTAAAAATACAAAAAATTAGCCAGGCATGGTGGCAGGCGCCTGTAATCCCAGCTACTGGGGAGGGTGAGGCAAGGAGAATCGCTTGAACCCAGGAGGCAGAGGTTGCAGTGAGTCAAGATCGTGCCATTGCACTCCAGCCTGGGAGACAAAGCGAGACTCCATCTCAAAAAAAAAAAAAAAAAAAGAAAATGCATTACAAGACATCCTAGGTAATGACTACTTTTTTTGTTTGTTTGTTTTGAGACAGAGTCTTGCCCTGTCACCCAGGCTGGAGTGTAGTGACATGATCTCGGCTCACTGCAACCTCCGCCTCCTGGGTTCAAGCGATATTCCTGCTCAGCCTCCTGAGTAGCTGGGATTACAGGCGTGTGCCACCATGCCAGGCTAATTTTTGTATTTTTAGTAGAGATGGGGTTTCACCACGTTGGCCAGGCTGGTCTTGAAGTCCTCACCTCATGTGATCCACCTGCCTCAGCCTTCCAAAGTGCTGGGATTATAGGCATAAGCCACCGCACCTGGCAGTAATGACTACTTTTGTATGGAACTATTTACTCGATAGTTGCCACAAAATTAGAGAACTGGGCCAGGCATGGTGACTCACACCTGTAACTCCAATGCTGTGGGAGGCCGAAGCGAGTGGTTCTCTTGAGGCCAAGAGTTTGAGACTAGACTGGGCAATATAGTGAGACCCCCATCTCTACAAAAAATATTTTAAAATTAGGCGGTGTGGTGGCAGCCACCTGTAATCCCAGCTATTCAGGAGCAGAGGCAGGAGGGAGGATCGCTCGAGCCCAGGAGTTTGAGGCACGGTGAGCCATGATCACACCACTGCACTCCAGCCTAGGTGGCAGAGCGAGACAAAAAAAAGATTAGAGAATTTGAAAGCCCTTTAACCATCAACTGCTAGAGCATCCATTCCTGATATGTTACATGTACAAGTAAGAAGGCCCAGAGAGGTTAAGTGACTTGATTGGCCAATGTCTGAGAACTGGGTCCCAGCCTGGGCCTTTGGCTTTGACCACAGGGGTGTTTCTGTTGCCCCAGATTGCTTTCTGTGTAGGGTTCTCTTGTCCTACAGAAAATGTCTTGCTAACAATATCATCCTTTAATGATTCAAAGCCTGTTCTTTTATTATTTATTTTATTTTATTTTTATTTTTATTTATTTTTTTTGAGACAGGGTCTTGCTCTGTCACCCCAGCAGGAATGCAGTGGCACCATCAAGCCTCACTGAAGCCTCAAACTCCTGGGTTGAAGTGATCCTCCTGCCTCATCCTCCTGAGGAGCTGGGACCACAGGCATGTGCCACCATGCCCAGCTACTTTTTAAATTTTTTTTTTTTTTGTAAACATGGGGTTTCGCCGTGTTTCCCAGGCTGGTCTCAAACTCCTGGGCTCAAGTGATTCACCAGCCTCAGCCTCCCAAAGTGCTAGGATTACAGACGTGAGACACCATGCCCTGCCAAGCTTTGTTATTTCTTTCTCACTAACTGTACATGGCAGCCTCCTGGCCAGTTACAGCACTGTCTCTTGTCAATCACATTTACTTTGTAGAAGGAAAGCGAGGAAATGTTATCCTTCACCATCTCAGTAACGTGTGCTCTTGAAGTTTGGGGGAAACCTATTCTAAGCCTACAAAGACTTCTGAAGGAAGTTGCTTCTGAAAATACGATTTCCTCTGAAGCCGGGGTTGGCACACTTTTTCTGTAAAGGGCCAGACAGTGCGTATTTTGGGCTTTGCGGGCCATATGGTTTCTGTTGCAGTGACTCAGCTCTGCCATTGTAGCGGGAAAGCAGCCACAGGCAATACGAGCGAGTTCCTTAAACCTTTATGTCCAGAGCCAGGCCGTGGATTGGGTTAGGCTCACAGGCTGTAGTGTCCTCACCCCTACTGTAAAGTTCATTTAAACAGTGCTCTTTTAATAGACGTCTAAGCAACATCAAAACATTGAAAAAAAATAGTGTAGTGGAAACCAAGATACCCACCAAGACTCAGCAGTTGTTCTGTTTTATCTCCCTCTTAGTGTATGTGTGCTTTTTCCCTGAACCATTCAAAAATGTCTCAAGCAGCTTGAAACTTCTTCCTACATATTTCAGCATGCATCTCCTAAGAACAGGGGCACTTCCCTACCTAAGCACAGTATCAATCATACCTAAGAAAATAGTGATGCAAAAAGTGCATCCTAAATAAGACGAAATTGGATGTTGAGGATCAACCAGTTTTATCATAGAACCTTACAGCACTTCAATTTTCTGAATACCACCGTGTTCATAGCTGAAATCAATAGGGTAGAAGCTGTCAAAGAAAAAGGCAGGTAAGGCCGGGCACAGTGGCTCATGCCTGTAATCCCAGCACTTTGGGAGACCGAGGCAGGTGGATCACCTGAGGTCAGGAGTTCGAGACCAGCCTGACCAACATGGTGAAACCCCACCTGCACTAAAAATACAAAATTAGCCAGGTGTGGTGCCGCATGCCTGTAATCCCCAGCTACTTGGGAGGTTGAGGCAGGAGAATCACTTGAACCCGGGAGGCAGAGGTTGCAGTGAACCGAGATCGTACCATTGCACTCCAGCCTGGGCAACGAGCAAAACTCTGTCTCAAAAAAAAAAAAAAAAGAAAGAAAGAAAAGAAAAAAAAGGAAAAGACAGCTAAAAATCACTCAACGCTAAATCCATTTGCCCAAGGCAAACCCTGCAACTGCCTGACAAAATATCTGCTGTTGCAGGTAAGCTGGGGTTCCAAAATGTTCTCTTGCTACAGATATAAAATTTGGTAGAAACAAATTTTTTTTTTTAATTTGAGATAGGGTCTTGTTCTCTTGCCCAGGTTGGAGTGTGGTGGTGCAATCTTGGCTCATTGCAGCCTTGACTTCTCTGGCTCAGGTGATTCTCCCATCTCAGCCTCCCAAGTAGCTGAGACTACTGGCACGCACCACCATGCCCGGCTAATTTTTTGTATTTTTAGTAGAGATGGGGTTTCGCCATGTTGCCCAGGCTAGTCTCAAACTCCTGGGCTCAAGTAGTCCTCCTGCCTTGGCTTCCCAAAGTGCTGGGATTACAGGCATGAGCCCCTGCGCCCAGCTGGAAACAATGTCTTTAAATCCTTTGCTTTAACAGGGAGGGGCATCATCCTTTTTAATCAAAGTTCAGTGGGAGCCCGCGGAATCAGCGTTTCGTCCCTGTCTTCCTTAGGTCAGTACTGGCTCCTTTATCCTCTACCCTCACAGAGTTGGGCAGACTAGGGGGATGGCAGAGTTCACTTATAAAGGCCCATACACAATCTTGCGGTTTCCTTACTTTATTTTTCTTTAAGAGACAGAGTTGGCCAGGCGCAGTGGCTCATGCCTGTAATCCCAGCACTCTGGGAGGCCGAGGGCGGGCAGATCACGAGGTCAGGAGATCGAGACCATCCTGGCTAACACGGTGAAACCCCGTCTCTACTAAAAAATACAAAAAAAAAAAAAAATTAGCTGGGCATGGTGGCCGGCGCCTGTAGTCCCAGCTACTTGGGAGGCTGAGGCAGGAGAATGGTGTGAACCCAGGAGGCAGAGCTTGCAGTGAGCCGAGATCGCGCCACTTGACTCCAGCCTGGGAGACAGAGTGAGACTCCATCTCAAAAAAAAAAAAAAAAGAGACAGAGAGAGTCTTACTCTGTTGCCCAGGCTGGAGTACAGTGGCATGATCATAGCTCATTACAACCTTGAACTCCTGGGCTCAAGTGATCCTTCCACCTCAGCCTGCCAAGTACCTGGGACTACAGGTGCCTGCCACCTCGCTTAGCTAATTTTTATTTATTTATTGTAGAGACAAGATCTCTCTATGTTGCCCAGGCTGGTCTCAAATTCCTGGGCTCAAGCAATCTTCTCACCTTGGCCTCCCACAATGCTGGGATTACAGGTGTGAGCCAGCATGCTGGGGCTTACTTTTTAAATTAATGGTATCTAAGACCTTGACTCAACAAACTGCAATGGCTAAGATAAATGATTTGGGCTGAGGTGTAAGAATAGCCCATCGGTTGGGCGCGGTGGCTCACGCCTGTAATCCCAGCACTTTGGGAAGTCGAGGCGGGCGGATCACCTGAGGTCAGGAGTTCAAGACCAGCTTGGCCAACATGGTGAAACCCCATCTCTACTTAAAAAATACAAAAATTAGCCGGGCGTGGCATCTTGCGCCTGTAATCCCAGCTACCCAGGAGGCTGAGGCAGGAGAATTGCTGGAACCTGGGAGGCAGAGGCTGCAGTGAGCTGAGATCGCGCCACTGCACTCCAGCCTGAGCGACAGAGTGAGACTCTGTCTCAAAAAAAAAAAAAAAAGCCCCTCTAAGTTCGCTCTGGGGGCTGTGATTTATTTCTATATGGGACAGGATTGTACTCAGCAACATCATCTGCAAAGAACATAACAGTCTCTCTTCTGCGCCTGCCTCATGGTGTGAATGAGCCAGTGCTGTACGAATGCATTGAAATGTCCATGCTCTCACCCCTAAGCCTCCTTTAAGCTTCTGCCCCTCTCAGCCCACTGAGGATGTGTAGCCATTGGTATGAGTGCCAACAGCTATTTCTTATAAGGAGCAAGCCAAGGCCAGGTGCGGTGGCTCATGCCTTTAATCCACCCACTTTGAGTGGATCTTTTTGAGCTCAGGAGTTTTAAGACCAGCCTAGGCAACATGGCAAAACCCCCTCTCTACAAAAAAATACAAAAAGTAGCTGGGTGTGGTGGCCCGCACCTTGTGGTCCCAGCTACTCGGGAGGCTGAGGCTGGATAATCGCTTGAACCCAGGAAGTGGAGGTTGCAGTGAGCCGAGATCGTGCCACTGCCCTCCAGCCTGAGTGACAGAGTGAGACTGTCTCGAAAAAAAAAAAAAAGAGAAAAGAAAGCCAGCCAGCTATGTCTCTTGTCATGCCCTGTTGAATGCTGTTGAACACCATCCTCCCACTTCTGGACTCAAGGAGCTTTGTTTTTTCTGAGCGCTGGATAACAGAAACAGAGACATCACACTCCTCCAAGAGCCTCCAGATTATAGAGACTTTAAGGCATCCGTCTTGAGAGATCAGAGTCTTATAAGGGCTGGAGATACTGTGTGCTGGGGCTTACCTGAGACTGTTCCTGAAACCTTCAGCTTAGCTCATTCACATTTGACTCCAGTTGGGCCAGTGCTCTCTCGGCTTGTGTGGCTGGCTCAGCTTGGGGCCACAGGTCTCTACAATGGTGTGTCTGCCCTGCCTTCAGGACCCATATCCCAAAATGTGGAAAACACCATCGGCAGCTTCAGAACCAAATGTAACTCTCCTCTCAAGTGTGAAATAATCCCATTCAGGTGGTGAGTGACTTGGAATCGAGGTGGCCAAGGTGTCATGGAGTAGCCATTTAGACCATAGCAGCTTGGGGGAACAAGGAGCTCATCCAACCCCATTTGCTTGGGTCTGTCATTCCAATGAGGCTTCTGCTGTAGGGAAAGCCTTGCTGTTCTTTCCCACAGACCTCAGAGGCATGTCAGTTACCACCTCCCAAGGTCAGCATTCATACCCTGCTCCTGCCTGAGCTGGAGCCGCTGACATAATCAGCAGGCAAACCCTTCTGGAATGTTAGATGAAGTCACCTTTACCTTCCTGTGACAGGACACCCTTTGCCAAAAAGCACAAAACATTCCACTCTGTGTAAAGCTCATGCTGTTCTGACCCCTTCTTCTGTGCCAGCCGCATATACCTGGAATTCTCCACTTTACAACTGAGGAAACCAGGGCCCAGAGAAGTTGAGTAACTTGCCCAAGGCAGCACAGCTTAACATGGTGAAACCCCATCTCTACTAAAAATACAAAAATTAGCCAGGCGTGGTGGTGTGTACCTGTAATCCCAGCTACTC
The DNA here is from genome assembly GCF_000001405.40 of Homo sapiens. Classification (NCBI taxonomy): domain Eukaryota; kingdom Metazoa; phylum Chordata; class Mammalia; order Primates; family Hominidae; genus Homo; species Homo sapiens. The sequence goes on along the minus strand of NC_000012.12, from coordinate 117,130,070 downwards.
AGGAGGCTAAGGCAGGAGAATTGCTTGGACCCAGGAGGCAGAGGTTGCAGTGAGCTGAGATTGCACCCCTGCACTCAAGCCTGGGCAACAGAGTGAGACTCCGTCTCAAAAACAAAACAAAAGACAGCACAGCTACTGAATAACAAGGCCCAGATCACAACCCAGCTCAGCCTGACTCCAAAACCCAAGCTGCTTTTTACAACTCCCCTGGTTGAGTTTGCTTTAATCCTCATCTCCCTGGAAACAGCTAGAAGAAGGCAGTCCTCCCCTGTAGAGATGTCTATGGTTTTCAGTGATCTTGCTTATGACAGAGTTGCAGCAGGTAGAGTTTGGTTGAGTTGTGAAACTCAGAGGGGTAAGCTCAGGGCAAACTTTGTGCCATTGTGTCAGCATGGTTTATTCGTGTGAATACTATCATTTTGCCTTTGAAGGAATTAGAAGCTGACAGGCAAAAATCTTCAGAGGATCGCCTGTTGAATTCTTGGTTTCTCAAGATGGTGACTCATATATATACGTGTGTTTGTATTTATCAACAGCTAACATAGATGTGTGACACATAACATTTATATGTAACATATATCATGTATATATTATACACATGTATATGTATATGTATATACACGTGTAACAATAGAACGTATATGTTGTGTAACATACATGTTATGTACATGTAATGTGTAAAATATAGCATTATGTTATGCATAGCATGTATCTATAACATTATACATACATAAAATGTGCATGTAACATCACACATTACATATATAGTCACATTAAACATGTTACATGCCATGCATATGTCACATGTGTATGTCACATATTACATAAATGTGCATATAGCATTTATATTACGTATATGTCACATGTTCTACACACATTACATATTGCATGTCATACATGTATTATGTTCTGCATATACATTGCACATGTTCTGTGTAATATGTATATAACGCATGTATGTAACGTGTATATTGCAAATGTTCTGCATGTAACATCACATATATATGTTGTGCATGTACCATATAGCCTATGTTGTGCATATGACGTGTGTATGCATGATTCTGAAAGGCATAACATGCATATGACGTGCAGCATGTCATCTTGACACATTTCATGTCACTTCTGCAACATGACATGTTTGTGACATAGGTGCTCTGTGACATGTTTATGACATGCATGTTGTGCTTTGTGACCCACATGTGGCTTTCAACATGATGTGACATGCATGACATACACGACATGCCTGCAACATGTGACATGCAAAAATGCATGCAACATATGACACACTTGCAATATACTAGTGACGTCCATGTGCCATTTAATACTTATGACATGCTGACATGTGACATGTCAGTGACATGCTTAGTACAGGAGGCATTCTTGTGAATTGCACCAAGCTAATATGCTAACTACATGTAGCATTCTTGCAAAATGTGACAGGACAGAACAGGTGACAGATTAGACAGGTGACGTCAGAGTGATGGGTAACAACAGGTGATGAGTCACAGGTGACAGGTTGACAATGACAGGTGACATTGACATGTAACAGGTGACTGACAGGTGGCATGAGTCAGGTGACAGGTTGACAGTGACAGATGAGTGACATGACGTGACAGGTGACAATGACGTGACAGGTGACAATGACGTGACAGGTGACAGGTGACTAACTTGACAGGTGATGACATGGCATTGACAGGTGACAGTGACATGGCAGATGATGTGACAGCAGGTGATGTGACAGGTGATATGTGACAGGGAAATGTGACAGGTGATGTGACAGGTGACATGACAGTGAAATGTGACGTGACAGTGACATGTGATGTGACAGTGACATAAGTGACATGGCAGTGACAGGTGACAGGTGATGTGGCAGGTGTCACAGATGTGACAGGTGATGGGTGATATGTAACAGGTGATGGACAGTGGTGATGTGGCAGGTGATGTGACAGTGACATGTGATGTGACATGACAGTGACAGTGATGTGACTGGTGACAGTGACAGGTAACCATAATGTGAATGGTGACAGGTAACACATGACAGTGGTGGCAGTGACAGGTGACAGTGCATGACTGGTGACAGGTCCAGTGACAGGTGACAGTAACAGGTAACAGGTGACATGCTAAGATGTGTGCCACATGTCCATTACATGCCATAGTCATTCCTATTACATGTCACTGACAGAGAAATGACTTGTATGCCCATCACATGCTATGGTCATGCCTGTTACATGCCACTGACCTGCAAAGATATTGTATACCTATTACATGGTATTGTCATGCATGTTACACACCACTGACATGCCTATTGCATGGTAGTAACGTGAAGGCATAGCTATTGGGGTCCCTATAACATGTCTTTTATATGCCACTAACATACGAATGTATGGCTATTAGTGCCATGCTCATGCCATTTACATACCAGGGATATGCGAAGACATGCCTATTACATGCGATTGTCATGCATATTTATGTGCCACTGACGTGATGATATGCATATCACGTGCCAATGACAGGCTATCATTTATGTTACCGCTGCTGACAAAATATGTATGTCACATGCTTATCACACACTATGGCCATGCCTGTTTTATGTGCTCATACCCACTACATCCTAAAGACACGCCTGTTACATGCTACTGACATGCCAGGACATGGCAAGTACATACCCATTGCATCCTATGGTCATGCCTATTACATGCCACCGACATGGCTATTGCATTCTAGCTACATTTGAAGACGTGGCTGTTGTATGCTAGGGACATTTGAAGACATGTCTATTGTATGCTATGGTGATGCCTATTACATGTCAAGGATGTGACACCAATGTGCTAAGGCATGCTTCATAATGCCACAGGCATGCTTTTTACATGCCAGTTACATACCAAGGACATGTGAGAGCAAGCGTATTGCATGTTATGGTCACGCTTATTTACATGACACTAGCATGCACATTACATGCCACTCACGTTAAGGCATGCCTATCATGTGGCAATTACGTGCCACTGTCATGCATATTACATGGTAGCATTCTCATACGTGTGTTACATGCTTTTATATAGTATTGTCAGGCTTATTTTTACTATGATCATACCTATTACATGCTAAGGGCATGCTTGTTATGTGCTACTGACATGATAGGACCTGCCAATTACATGCCCATTGATTGCATCCTATGGTCATGCCTACACACCACTGACATGCTACATTTGTATTACGTGCTTGTAACATGGTCATGCCTGTTGCATGTTTATTATACACCAAGCACATGTGTGACATGCTAAGGATTTATGACGTGTGCATGCCAAGTACATGTGACATGAATGTGCCTATTTGAACATGCCTGTGACATGTGATGTGCAAAGGACATGCCTATTACATGCTGATATGCTTACTGCATGCTGAAAATATGGTAAGGAAATGCTAAGGACATGACAGGTGACAGTGACATGTGACAGTTACAGATGACAGTGATAGGAGACAGTGACAGATGACAGCAACATTACATGTGACAGTGACGTGACCATATGACAGGTCGTGACATTTAACAGGTGACTTGTGACAGTGACATATGACAGTGCAGGAGACAGGTACATGTGACAGTGACATTACATGTGACAGTGACTCAGGACAGTGCTGTGTGACAGTGACGAGTCACATGTGACATTTGACAGGTGACATGACTAACGTGACAGTGACATTACATGTGATAGGTGACAGTGCCATTTGACAGGTGACATCCTAAAACATGTTAAGGACATGCTTACTGCATGCCAAGGGCAGAACGTTGCAAGAACATACACAGTACATGCTAAGGGCATGTACATCACGTGCTAAGGACATACCCCTTACATAATAAGGATGTCTCTTACATGTCAGGAACATGTGGCATGCTTATGTGTTGAAGCCATGGCAAAAGCATGCTGATGGCCTGCTTTTTACATGTTAAAGATGTGCTTACTACATGGCCATGCCAATGACGTGACATACCAATGACATGATATGTTTGTTGCATGCCAAGGACATGCAAATGACCCGTGACGTTAGTGATGTGACAGGTGACAGGTGTCAGGACAGATGAGTGATGTGACATGATAGGCGACATGACAGTGACGTGACAACAGGTGATGGTTCAGGTAATAGGTGACATGCAACAGGTGGCAGTGACAGACAACAGGTGACAGTGACATGTGACATGACTGACAGGTGACGTGACAGGTGACAGTCGTGACAGTTTATAACAATGTCATATATCAATACCTAATATTTCCTCTGCAGCTGGGTCTTCCATTTCTTTCTCTTAATTACTCATTGAAATCGTTGAGCACCATTTACCATTTGTTAATCACTTTAATTCGCTCCCCAGCTTGGAGCTGGGGGTGGACATGTTGCTGCTGAACAGAAGGGCTGGTTCCGGGTCTTAGATGTGTAGGTTTGTAATGTGTGGAGTGGCAGCCCTGAAGTGAGCCATGTAGGAGGGGGCAGAAGTCCCCTGACAGTACTGTGTAACCAGTAATAGAGACAAACAGATGGCCCAGGGTGAGGGAGAGCAAGGGAACAACATTTTGTAGTTTAGTAGTGAGAGATGCTGCGAATTGTCACTGTCTAGGCAGTATATATTCGGCATGAGTCACCCTCAGTCTCGGCTGCACAGCAACCCCAGGCGAATAGCATCTCTAATCTTAAAAGCTCATTAAGCTCTGGCTGTTTGCACCCTGCCTGGAAAAGCCTCTGTTGAACAGGGAGCACCAAGAGAGCGAGGAAGGAGCCAGTGGCTGCACGAGATGGCCCAGGTATCCTGCCAGCAGGTCGCACACCTAGGCTCTTCCCCACCAAGGAAGAGCACCTGTTCCTATTTGGGAAAGAGAGAGAGGAGAGTGGTAATTTTCCATTTTCCTTTCTTGAGTGAGTCATACGAAAGCAAAATGTGTTCCCAGCTTGTGTTACTACTTCTGTCATTGCTGGGCTGCACAGATCAAAGGCTGGGGGAGATGTGTCTCCCCTCCCAACCCCTTGATCTATTCTTTTCAAGATTCACTTCCCTCTCCCTGCTTCAGAAGCCTCGTATCTGTCTGGAGCCCACTGGTTTGCCTGGAGATGGTCTGCTGTCCTTTCATTTTAAATTAAAATGCCCCTGCCTCTTGGTGGCCCAGTGAGGTGTGGGGGTTCAGGATGGGATATGAGGTGTTTGGCCATGCCTTACTGCCTTGGTGGAATGTGCCAGCAATCCACAAGAACACAGCAGGCTGGGAGAGGGGCCATGGCTTCAGAAATACTGCCTTGGGGCTATTGTTTGTAGACCAAACCTGGACTCTCCTCCTGCTGCCCATGGATCAGGACCAGCTATGCCCACGTAGGCCTAGAACCATCCAGGTTGCGAGCAACTTGCCATTTCTACATTGGTGGCTGTTTCTAACACCGGAGGAGGTTGACTCACTGAGTAGACTGGCAGGGTCTTAGGAAGGAAATCAGTTATTTGGCCTCACACTCTGGCAAATGCCCTAAGGGAGTCCGTTGAGTTCCTGAATGCAGATAAAACTCTTTCTCGTTCATCAAAATGAGCCCTGGGGCTCACCCCTTCTCTCACCCTTCAAGGTTCATCCATCACCTTGTCCTGCTCTAGGGACCACACTGGACCTCTGTGCCTCCCCACTGCCACCACCCTGGTCCAAGCCACCACTGTCTCTTGCCTTGGCAAGTTCACCTGCCTCCTACCTGGTTTTTCTAAAATCTGTATCTCTTGGAATGACTCCCTTGCTTGATGGCTTCCTGTTGCCCTTAGAACAAAGTCCAAACTTTTAAGCACAGTGTATTACCCTCCTGCACACAGACTCTGCCTCTGCCACAAGTTAGAGGCTCCCTGACTTCCCTACACCCTCCTGCCTCTGGGCCATTGCACAGGCTGTTTCCTTTGCCTGGAACTCACTCTACCTACATTCATATTTTTTGAGCTCCTACCAAGTGCATAGCAGTATGCTAGGTGCATGGAACATATAAAAGACACCCAGGCTATGTAGCCATGTTGGGCATGTAACGGTAATGGAGTCATATTGTATTAGTCCGTTTCATGCTGCTAATAAAGACATACCTGAGACCGGGTAACTTGGAAAGAGGTTTAATAGACTCACAGTTCCATATGGCTAGGGAGGCCTCACAATCATGGTGGAAGATGAAGGAAGAGCAAAGGGACGTCTTACATGGCAGCAGGAAAGAGAGCTTGTGCAGGGGAACTCCCATTTATAAAACCATCAGATCTCATGAGACTTATTCACTATCACGAGAGCAGTGTGGGGGAACTGCCTTCATGATTCAATTATCTCCACCCAGCCCTGCACTCGACACAAGGATTATTGCAATTCAAGGTGAGATTTTGGTGGGGACACAGCCAAACCATATCACATATTTACCACACACAGTGAGCCCAGCACGTGCCAGGCACTTCACATATATATCTCTCATCCTCCCAGCAGCCCCGCAGGGTAAGTGCTACTATGTTATTCTCACGTTAGAGATAGGGGAATCAAGGCCCAAAGAAAGGCAGCTCAGATAACGGAGAATGATGGTGGGAACACACTACCTCTCTGCGTTTAGCACAGTGCTTCTCAAAGTCTCTTCCTAGACCAACTGCAATCACCTGAGAACTCGTCAGGAATGCAGATTTCTGAACCCAGCCCCACTGAATCAGAAGCTCCGGTGCTGGAGCTCAGTGACATGTATTTTAATAAGTCCTCCAAGGGCTTCTGAGAGACACACTCAAGTCTGGGAACCACTCAGTCATGAGGTATTTTATATACAAATGGTTTGATTTGTCAGCATGGGGTACTGGTGGCCTTAATGGCTTTCCATTTTTAAAAAAAAATTTAAAAAAACCAACTACAGTGCTGATGAGATTATAGTGAGATTGTAAACCCTAATTATAGTGAGATTTCAAGGCCCCTTTCCCCTCCACGTAGGGTGGTATTCTCAAAGCCCGGATTCCCTGGATCTGATGACAGGGACACTATGTTGCCCAGGGTGGCCTCCTGGGCTCAGATGATCCTCCTGCCTCAGTTTCAGGAGTAGCCGGGACTACAGGTGAGCACCACCACATTCAGCTCTCAAAGCCTTTTGTGAAAGATTATTCAGGGGATACTTTATAGTTTTTTAAAAATATGTATTTATTTATTTTTTATTTTATTTTTGAGATGGAGTCTCACTCTGTCGTCCAGGCTGGAATGCAGTGGCGTGATCTTGGCTCACTGCAAGCTCCGCCTCCTGGGTTCACACCATTCTCCTGCCTCAGCCTCCCGAGTAGCTGGGACTACAGGTGCCCGCCACCACACCTGGCTAATTTTTTGTATTTTTAGTAGAGACGGGGTTTCACCGTGTTAGCCAGGATGGTCTCGATCTCCTGACCTCGTGATCCGCCCGCCTTGGCCTCCCAAAGTGCTGGGATTCCAGGCATGAGCCACCGTGCCCAGCCTTTTAAAGGGTTTTTTAAAGCCACTTCAATAAATTCCCTTAAATACTTTAAGTATACTAATGAATTTAATATATTTGATTTCTTCTTAAGCACTTTTCAGAACCTTCCTAAGTACTTCATTATGAATTTTTATACATCTAATAAATTGAACTTTAAATATGCAAATTTTAAGTTCTCTTAAAGAGTAGTGTTCTGTTTACAAACTTAATATTAAGTTCTCATATAACTTCCAGCTTAAAATCTGGCTGACACAACAATGTGAATATACTTACTACCACCGAACTGCACACTTGAAAATGGTTAAGATGGTCAGTTTTATGTTATGTATATTTTACCACAATTTACAAAAATATCTGGCCATAACTGATTACTCAATTCATTTGAAATTGGAATCACAAGGCCTTTCTGTTAGACGATGCCAAATTCTCTTAAACATTTCAAACCCTTAAAATAGAAAAGTATACCAATATACGTAGATTACTTTTCAATATAATACAGGACCAAAAAAAAAAAAAAAAGGAAGCTATGACTTTGCATTACTTCATCCTTTCTGTACTTAATGCTAAACCTTCTGGGGTTAAAGATTCTGACTAAGGAATACACTGTGCCATCCTGAGAAACTTGGCGGTGCCCACCAAGTACACAACGCTGCAAATTGCTACTTGGCCAGGAAGGAAGAATGGATTTTTTTCAAGGACCTCAGCTGAGCCCTAATTATAGTCACTGTGCTGATGGCAGATATCAAGGCCCTTTCTCCCTCCATGTGGGGCAGTACTCTCAAAGTCCAGATTCCCTGGGTCTGATGACAGAAATCCTAATTCTTCCCTATTGTGAATCTCAGGCCTCCCTTTTCCTCTTAGCCTTACCAGTGAATGTGCCATCTGCCTTTACTGCTTCCTTCTCTCCTGACTTCTTCCCCCACCACCTCCGCAAAGGACATGACCCATAGATACATTGTTCCATAGCACCCGCAGATCCTGCAGCCCCCGGCTTCCTGTTACTCTTACTCTTGTAGCATTTCAGAGAAGGAAAAGGCTGCTGAGTTGAGGACAGTGGGAGATTTCCAAAAAGGAGAACTTAAAAACTGGCCTTTGTAGGATGCACCAACAGGAGAGGGGGGAAAAGTGAGGTGAAGGGAATTCATTCTAGTCTGATGAATAAATTACTAGCCCAGGCATACTGTTTGCTTTCCCCTGCCTTCCCCCCCACTTTTTGAGATGGAGTCTTGGTCTGTCCCCCAGGCTGGAGTGCAGTGGCGCGATCTTGGCTCACTGCAAACTCCGCCTCCCGGGTTCAAGCCATTCTCCTGTCTCAGCCTTTCGAGTAGCTGGGATTACAAGTGCCCACCACCATGCCTGGCAAGTTTTTATATTTTTAGTAGAGACGGGGTTTCACCATGTTAGCCAGGCTGGTCTCGAACTCCTGACCTCAAGTGATCCACCTGCCTTGGTCTCCCAAAGTGCCGGGATTATAGGCGTGAGCCACCGCGCCCAGCCTCCCCTGCCTTCTGAGCAGGATGCACCCCTCTGTCGATTGCATCACATTGGAGCTCCTCCTCTTACATTGTCTGGTAGGGGCCTGGCAAGGAAGTGTTAACACGAGAAATGGAGATCTCCTATTCCTGACTCCCTCCTGGAACCAGCACGTCACTCCAGGCCCCCAGAGGCATTGGCCCTCCTGTGAATTCAACCAAGCGTGGTGTCCCATAGCAAATATGGAAAACGCCTGGAAAAAGCCACCAGATGGTGCTTCTCCATGCCAAGTGAGTGGCTCCACAATGACTAGGGGTGGGTGGGTGGTGAGGGGGAGGAGAAGAAACATCAGGTTCAGCAGTTACCCTGCTGGAACACCTGCTCGGGGAGGACATCAGAAGAACCTCAACGTCCATCAGTGGGGTAAGGGGACATTTATGCACATAAACAACCAGCTCAAGTCACCAGGGAATCTGTGCCAAAGATGAAGTTTTGAGAAGTCCCCAAGGTGACCTGGAGGGAGACGTGAGCGACCGCAGCCCTGGCACATCTTGGAGAGGTCAGCTGGTCTTGGAGGGGGCCTGCCTTATCCAGGAAGCTGATGGGACTCACCCCAATGTGGCCAGAGAAAAAAATGGGAGAGGGTGCCTTTATAAAAGCTCACGTCCTTTTTTTTTTTTTTTTTTTTTTTTGAGACAGAGTCTCGCTGTGTCGCCCAGGCTGGAGTGCAGTGGTGCGATCTCAGCTCACTGCAGCCCCTGCCTCTCGGGTTCAGCTATTCTCATGCCCCAGCCTCCCGAATAGCTGGGATTACAAGCACAGGGTACCACACCCAGCTACATTTTGTATTTTTAGTAGAGACAGGGTCTCTATGTTGCCTAGGCTGGTCTCGAACTCCTGGCCTCAAGTGATCCACTTGTGTCTGCCTCCCAAAGTGCTGGGATTACAGGTGTGAGCCACTGCGGCTGGCCTAAAAGCTCATGTCCTTTAATTGTCATACTACTCTACAGGGTAGATGCTGTTACTATAAACCCATTTTATTGATGAAGAAACTGAGGCTCAGTGAGGGGGCACTGAGCTGCCCAAGGTCTCAAGATGTTGGAGGAGGATGGTGGAGGAGGGTGGCTCCCCCAGCAGTGTCCAGGGAGTGATTTTCCTGCTGGTCACAGGTTCCCACAGGTGAGAAGCCCCGCTAGTCTTGATTGTGCCTGATCCCTCCTCATGCTCTAGGGGGCAGCAGAGTTTTATAATTTACCGTGAGATTCCCAGTGGAATAGACTAGGGTTCAAGTCCTGCTTTGGCTACCAACAGGGCGGGTGAATGAGGCCAGTCATTTAACCTGAGGGCAGGAGTCTCTGTTTCCTGTGGATAAAATGGAGATAAAGGTCTCTCCTGGACAAGTGCTTCCTAAGGACATCAGTAGCAACAGTAAGATAGTGGCAGACACCCAGGCGGCTGCTGGCTTGTGCTGTTCTAAGCACTTGGTGTGTTTCAGTTCTTTTCTTCTTTGCTACAGCCCAGGGCTGTCGCAACTCTCATTGCCCTGGTTTTGTAGATGCAGTCAAAGAGGCAAGGAGAAGCAAAGCGACTTTCCCAAGCTCACACAGGAAGTGGCAGAGCCAGGATTTGAATCCAGGTCGTCCAGCTGCTCTGGAACTGCCTGTGAAACTGCTTGGCACTTAGCGCACAGCTGGGCCAGCAGCACCCATGGATGGAAGCGTCCGTTCCTGAGATCATAACATTTACAGGGCTCCCCGGGAGCGAGGTGTGCCTACCACTGAGGCCCTTGGAACATCTTGCATAAAAGAAAGAAGTTCTTAGCCAGCAGCCCTGCACACTACCAGTTTCTAAGTTATTTATAAAGAGCTTGTTGAAGTCGAGAGACTTCTAACAGGCGGAGGTGTGTTCTTGAGACTAAGAATAGTGGCTGAGGCCTGACAGGAGGCGCTTTCTGGTGACATCAGAGCATCCCAGCCTTGCTTCCAGCCAGCAGCAGCAGCAGCTTGGAGGGAGTGTGAGTTTTCTCCTGGCTCAGCCACAGCTGCCGGTTCACCCCGGTTCACTGAGGTGGCCCACCCTGGTTCCTCCAGAGAGGGCGGCACTCAGCCTGGACGCTGAGGCAGGCGTGGGACAGGGATGGGTGACCCCCAACGAGCAGGCTTTAGCTGGAGTCTAGAGGTCTCTAATCTGCCACTTCCACCTCCCACTATTTGCTGAAGGGTGGCCATCTGGCCTTAACAATAGGATGGGGACAAAGAGCAGAGGCCCACAGGGGAGGGGCTGCGAAGTCCCTGAGCGGCCCTTGGATTTAGATCCCTTTCCCAGCAGTGGGGGGCAGAGTATTTTGCCATCCTGCTCACCCCAACCTCACCATCACCTGGGGGTTTCTAACAGGTACTGACCCCAGAGTCCCCAACCCTTCCTGCGACACCAGAGGCTCCAGGGGAATGTTATGCACATCACAGTTTTAGAACTCTAGAACTCTTTGTTTTTTTTTTTTAGATGAAGTTTCACTCTTGACGCCCAGGCTGGAGTGCAGTGGTGCGATCTCGGCTCATTGCAACCTCCTCCTCCTGGGTTCAAGTGATTCCCCTGCCTCAGCCTACTGAGTAGCTGGGATTACAGGCATGTGCCACCACATCCAGCTAATTGTATTTTTAGCAGAGACTGGGTTTCACCATGTTGGCCAGGCTAGTCTCAAACTCCTGACCTCAGGTGATCCATGTGCCTCGGCCTCCCAAAGTGCTGGAATTACAGGCGTGAGCCACCGCGCCTGGCCTAGAACTCTTGTAATCTACAAGAAGGAGAATTTCAACCCAGAACTTGCCCAAAATCCCAACAGGTGACCACTGGCTTTTTTCTGGACTGGAAATAAATTATGGGGATAGAGGGCAAAGATTAAGTCAAGCCAAGGTTAAATCGTGGTCCCTACCAGGAGCTGTGAGCTTTTAGTGGAGATATTAGAGAGATGTGGGGTGGGGGGTGAGGGAAGAAGGAAAGGGTAACAGTTTAAATGGGTAACTTAAAACGCTGTTTCAAATTTGTATAGCCATTGTGGAAAACAGTGTGGAGGTTCCTCAAAAAATTAAAAATAGAACTATCATAGGATCCAGCAATTCCACTTCTGGGCATCTACCCAAAGGAAATGAAATCAGTTTCTTGAATGGATAGCTACACTTCCATGTTGATTGCAACATCATTCATAGTAGCCAAGATAAACAACCTAAGTGTCCATCGACAGATGAATGGATAAAGAAAATGTGAAACGCACACATAGGAATATTATTCAGCCTTCAAAAAGAGGGAGATCCTTGGCCAGGTACAGTGGTCATGCCTGTAATCCCAGCACTTTGGGAGGCTGAGGCAGGTGGATCACCTGTGGTCAGGAGTTTGAGACCAGCCTGGCCAACATGGCAAAACCCCATCTCTACTAAAAATACAAAAATTAGCTGGGCATAGTGGCGCATGCCTGTAGTCCCAGCTACTCGGAAGGCTGAGGCAGGAGAATTGCTTGAACCTGGGAGGCGGAGGTGGCAGTGAGCCGAGATTGTGCCACTGCAGCCTGGGGGGCAGAGCGAGACTCTGTCTCCAAAAAAAAAAAAAAAAAAAAAAAAAGAGGGAGATCCTGCCATTTTCAAAACTGTGGCTGAACCTGGAGGATATTTTTCTAACTGAAATCAGGCAGACATAGAAACACAAACACTGCATTACCTCACTTATGTGTGGAATCTAAGCAAGTCCAACTCATAGAAGCAGACAGTAGAATGTTGGTTACCAGGGGCTGGGGCAGGGGGAGAGGAGAGATATTGGTCAAAGGATACAAACCTTCAGCATAATATGAATAAGTGCTAGAGACCTAGTGATCACAGTAGCATGGCGGAGGTGTGTTCTTGAGACTAAGAATAGTGGCTGAGGCCTGTATTAGTGACTGTAATTAGTAATAATGTACACCTGAAATATGCTAAGAGACTAGATCTCAAGTGTTCTTACCACACACACAAATAGCATATAAGGGGATAGATACGTGAATTATCTTGAAATGGATATATTAATGGATATGTTAATTATCATAGAAATAATTATCTATTATAATCATTTCACTTATAGACATATATTTAAATATCACAATATACACCCTAAATATATGCAATTTTTGTCAATTATAAATCAATAAAACTGGAAAAATAAATGTCATATAAAGTCAATAAAAAATACGCGTTTAGGCCAGGCCCGGTTGCTCATGCCTGTAATCCCAATGTTTTGGGAGGCCAAGGCAGGAGGATTGCTTGAGGCCTGGAGTTCGAGACCAGCCTGGGCAATAAGGCTAGACCCCATCTCTATAAAACATGAAAAAAAAACAACTGGGCAATGTGGTGCGGGCCTGTTGTCCCAGCTATTCAGGAGGCTGAGGTGGGAAGATCACTTGAACCTGGGAGGTGGAGACTGCAGTGAGACACGATGGCACCACTGCACTCCAGCCTGGGCAACAGAGGGAGACCCTGTCTCTTAAAAAACTACAAAAATACTGTTTCAGATTATTACTTGCCATAGGCAGGCTCTTATGCACAGTACATTCCTGGGCATTTGACCATCCATAGTACACATAATTTCCTGTACCTGGTTAGGCACATAAAGCTCTGAGTGCCATACTCTGTGGTCACCATAGGAGATTTTCAAGAGGTGTCATGGCTGCCCATGATTTTGACATTGCACCCTGGCTCCACTAAACTTTGCTCCATGAGCCTCAGTTTCCCTCTTTCTGCAGTGGGGTTTTACCTTCTTACACCACATAGAAGCTTGATAAGTCATTTTTTTTTCTTTAGACACGGTCTTGCTCTGTTGCCCAGGCTGGAGTGCAGTGGGACCATCACGGCTCACTGCAGCCTTGACCTCCCAGGTTAAGCGATCCTCCCACCTCAGCCTCTTGAATAGCTGGGACTACAGGCCCACATCACCTTGCCCAGCTATTTTTTTTTTTTTGTAGACATGGAGGTCTTGCTATGTTACCCAGGCTGGTCTCGAACTCCTGGTCTCAAGCAGTCCTCCCAAAGTGCTGGGATTCCAGGTGTGAGCACCGCATCTGTGGATAGGTCATCTTTTAAAAATTCATCACAGCTGACTTTCAGAGAGCCCAGTACGCTTACTCACATGCATTGTGACAAGAGGACAAGAGGAGATTCGTCTTTTATCTTCTTTAAAGAAAGGAAGCACAGGCCAGGTGTGGTGGCTCACATCTGTAATCCCAGCACTTTGGGAGGCTGAGGCGGGCAGATCACTTGAGGTCAGGAGTTCGAGACCAGCCTGGCAAACATGGTGAAACCCCGTCTCTACTAAAAATACAAAAAATTAGCTGGATGTGGTGGCACACGCCTGTAGTCCCAGCTACTTGGGAGGCTGAGGCAGGAGGATCACTTGAGCTCGGGGAGGTGGAGGGCGCAGTGAGCTGAGATTACACCATTGCACTCCTGCCTGGGTGACAGAGTGAGACTCCATCTCAAAAAATAATAATGAAATAAAATAAAAATAAAGGGCTGGGCACGGTGGCTCACACCTGTAATCCCAGCAGTTCGGGAGGCCAAGGCAGGTGGATCACCTGAAGTCAGGAGTTGGAGACCAGCCTGGCCAATGTGGTGAAACCCTGTCTCTACTAAAAATACAAAAAAATTAGCTGGGCATGGTGGCGTGTGCCTTTACTCCCAGCTATTTGGGAGGCTGAGGCAGAAGAATCGCTTGAACCCGGGAGGTGGAGGTTGCAGTGAGCCGAGATTGTGCCACTGCACTCCAGCCTGGGCAACAAGAGTGAAACTACATCTAAAATAGTAATGAATAAATACATAAATAAATACATAAATAAATAAAGGAAGTGCTACAGAGAAGTGACTTGCCCAGGGCCACGCTGCATTCACCAAAATTCCTAAGGTTTCCTTTACCAGTGTTGTCCCAAAGAACAGCTCCAGACTGATTTACTGAGGAAAGGAAACGTTTCTTCCCTGTGAGGCCCTAAATGCAACCTGAGTTGAAAGAGGCAGAGATGGGCAAGCGACAGGCAGCCTCGGAGGAGCCGTTGTGCAGGTGCCACCTGTGAGCTGCTCCTGGCTAATGCACCACTCTCGTCCCTGGGTTATGGGGGTTAATGAGCTACGGCTTCAGCGCAGCTGCCAAGTGCCTAATCTCAGCCCAAGGTCACACACCAGGACTCTCCGAGAACACACTATCGCACATACACACTCAGACACACACCATGCCAGGTGGTGCAGAATCACACCACTGGGTTGATTCGATTTGTGATTCTCTACCCTGTATATACCCTTTACAGACACCACCACCTGGGCCCCTACTACCCCCCCAAAGATTCTAATTTCATCTGCCTGGGATTAGAGCTCTCCAGGTTGGTCTCTTTTGCAGCTGGGGTAGAGACAATGGTCTGTTGTCAAACTTGACAGCATTTTGGAATCACCTGGGGGATTTAAAAACAGCACTGGCTAGGTGTGGTGGCTCCCTCCTGTAATCCCAGCACTTTGGGAGGCCGAGGCAGGTGGATCACTTGAGGTCAGGAGTTCGAGACCAGCCTGGCCAACATGGTGAAACCCTGCCTCTATTAAAAATACAAAAAAAAAAAAAAAAATTAGCTGGGCATGGTGGCGCACACCTGTAATCCCAGCTACTTAGGAGGCTGAGGCAGGAGAATCACTTGAGCCCAGGAGACAGAGGTTGCAGTAAGCCAAGATCATGCCACTACACTCCAGCCTGGGCGACAGAGTAAAACTCCATCTCAAAAAAAAAAATTTTTAAACATTAAAAAATAATAATAAAAATAAAAACAGTACTGATGCTGCCCTTCCCACCCCTCAGCCTTCATTCACATGGGGTCTGGGTGTGGCCTGAGCATCAGGCGTTCTACATACTCCCCAGGTGGTTCTAATGTGAGGCCAGGTTCAAGAACGGCCGCTCTGGTTCATTCTGCACCTGGGCTCTCTCCGTACCGCAGTAGACAGAGGGCTCTCACTCCTGAGTCCTCCAGAAAGAGACTTTAGCTTCATGTTGCTGCTTCTAAACATATATGCATCTCGAGAAAACTCTATTGTCCTTGACTTCTGAATGTCAAGGCTGATCCAAAGCCATGGGCCTTCTGTCTGCGTCCTCCTGGATAGGAAATGAAGCCTCAGTGTGAGTGGCGTGAAGGTATCCCCCGTTCCACCATGCTCTGTGGACAGAGACAGAGGGAAAGGGAACTTTGCAGTAATCCCATCTGTCCTCAGTTCTGCCCCTGCACCTCTGACTGAGGTCCTGGGAAGGATGCCTCCTGTAGGCGCCCCTGCTCCTGGGACCCTCCCCACCTCCTGCTGACCTACCCACAGGGGTGCCTAAGTGCTGAGTTCATGCGTATCCACACCCACCTTCCTCCACCTAGAAATGGACAGGCCCACTCTTCACCCTGTGATATCTGTGGCTGGGGTTGAGCCCCAGGCTTCATAAATATTCAGGCCTGTCTATGCTTCTTCCTTCTGAGGGGCTGGGACCTGCCCCCAGGAGACAGGCACCAAATTGTCCTCCCCATCTCCTGCAGCACACAACCTGAGAACAACTAATCTCTGCGGACTTTCTGCCCCATGCACGTCAGCTTGTGCAGGGAGCCTCCTGAGAGGCCATCATTCCCCACTGAGTCCCGGCCAGGCCCAGCAACTGCACCTGGAGCAGCAGGCCCCGAGCCGGCCAATGACCAGAGTCACACTCGTCTGTTACTGCGCACCTTCCATATGGCAGCACTTCATGTAAAATCTGTGTGCCCATTTCACGGGCCATAGACGGGAACCAAGGATTGGAGGGGTGAAGTCACTTGCCTAAGGCCAAAGACAGGACTTGACCCCAGAGCTGTCCAGGTCTCTAGAGCAGGGGCTCTCAGATTTGAATGTACAGAGGAGCCAGCTCAGTAGTTCTCTCTCAACAGGTTCCAGGAACCAGCCCTTTTTTTTTTTTTTTGAGATGCAGTTTTGCTCTTCGCCCAGGCTGGAGTGCAGTGGCGTGATCTCGGCTCACGGCAACCTCTGCCTCCTGGGTTCAGGTGATTCTCCTGCCTCAGCCTCCCAAGTAGCTGAGATTACAGGTGCCCACCACCATGCCCAACTAATTTTTGTATTTTTAATAGAGACGGGTTTTCACCATGTTCCCCAGGCTGGTCTTGAACTCCTGACCTCAGGTAATCTGCCTGCCTCGGCCTCCTAAACTGCTGGGATTAAAGGCCTGAGCCACCACGCCCAGACAGGAACCTGCCTTTTCATACCAGAATGCTGGAGAACCTGACCGAATCCACCCTTGCAGAGTCCCCCTGTGCCCCTGTCTGAGTCTCAGGACCTGATCTAGATCCAGCCAGTTATATCCTTGATGGGTGACCACTATGAGCTTCTGTTTCTTCCTCTGTGAAAATGAGGGTGTGTGCCAGGCATGATGGGTCACGTCCATAATCCCAGCGCTTTGCCAAGGTGGGTGGATCCCCTGAGGTCAGGAGTTTGAGACCTGCATGGCTAACATGGTGAAACCCCATCTCTACTAAAAATACAAAAATTAGCCAGGCATGGTGGTGCACGTCTGCAATCCCAGCTACTTGGGAGGCTGAAGCCAGAGAATTGCTTGAACCTGGGAGGCGGAAGTTGCCGTGAGCTGAGATCCCACCACTGCAGTCCAGTCTGGGTGACACAGTGAGATTCTGTCAAAAAAAAAAAAAAAAGGAAGGGAAACGAGAGGGTAGAACTAGCCAATTACAAGGGGCTTGTCAGCCCTGCCTTGAGTTCCCCGGCTTCAGTAGAAGTTCAGCTGTTCAGCTCCTATGGAAAGGAGGGAGGGAGGGAGAACTTCTCTCCAGATTTTCTCCCCTAGAAGGGTCCTATATCAGGTCAAAACAACAAACCTGGTGCAGGACTTTCACCCGCCTGTGCAGGCAGCTGGGACCCAGAAACCCTCAAAGCATTTTTCTCCCCTACCCACTAACCACATGGTCTCCTTGGCACAGATGAAGCTTCTACTTAAAGGGCAGCTGGGAAGCCTCCCGCCTTTTGTTCACATCCCACTCCTTGTTTTCCTGCATGAAGGTAAGAAGCCAGGTGTGGTTCCCGTGTCTGCTCTCCGCAGCCCTCCTGGGAGGGTTTGAAGAGACAGCTGAGAGCGGCCAGCTGGGAAGAGCACGCTTGCCTTGTCAGCGGAGAGTAGGTTCTGAGCTCTGCTGAGTCAGCGTGGCCAGGCAGGGCTGGGGGGCCTCAGGGCTCCAGGCCCCACCTCTTACCTCTACAGTCTCCCACCCCGGCTGCCTGCCCCAGCCGGTCAAAATGGTAGGTGCCTGCTGCCTGCTTTCCCAAGTAAGCCCCAAATTATCAACTGCACCAACTGTGAACCCCAACATATATTTATCATCCCTGCCTCCCAGGCACTCAGCCGGGTCTCATTGGTTATTGCAGTCATCCCAGGAGGGAAGTGGGGGAGGGAGGAGATGGCTGGGGCTGGGCCTCCCTGGATGGGGAGGTGCCGGGGTGAATGAGGTGCTGAGATTGGCTCACAGCTCCACAGCCAGCTGCATCGCCCCGTGGGGCAGCTCATGGTCCCCCAAAGGTGGCCAACTCAGCATTCAGTTCCAGCTCTGTCACTTACTAGCACACTGGAGGTGTGGGCCTGCCTGGAGGCCAGACAGCCGAGGGGACAGCTAAGTCATAGCTTTTCCTCCCGGTCTGTGCCCTTTTGTGGTCACAGAGGTGGCCCTTTGGGAAGGATCCCCCTCCTTCCACCTGAGTGTGGAGTCTGTTCCTGCAGGTATCCAGGGACAGTGAGGCCATGAGAAGCTAGCACCTTAGTCCAAGGGGGCTCTTAACTGTCCCTTTCCCGGTGCAGTCCTTGTTTGTTTTTTGAGACAGAGTCTCACTCTGTTGCCCAGGCTGGAGTGCAGTGTCGTGACCTTGGCTTACTGCAACCTCTGCCTCCTGGGTTGGGCCAATTCTTCTGCCTCAGCCTCCCAAGTAGCTGGGATTACAGGTGTGCACCACCACTCCTGGCTAATTTTCGTATTTTTAGTAGAGACAGGGTTTTGCCATGTTGGCCAGGCTGGTCTTGAACTCCTGACCTCAAGTGATCCACCCACCTCAACCTCCCACAGTGCTGGGATTACAGGCGTGAGCCACCGCACCCGGCCAATCCTTGTTAAAATGCAGGTTCCTGGGCCCCCTTTTACACAAGGAATCCTATGGCACAAAACCATTTGAGAACCAGTGTGGCAGCCTGGGGTCGCTTTGCCAAGCCTCAGTTCCTTGTGCTCATAACAGAGATGTGAAGAATGCACATTCTGTAGTGTTGTCTTAGGAGGCAGCAAGGTTTATAGAATCTAGAAAGTGCTTAGTACTCTGCAAAGGGGAATTCCTTGGTCATTACTGGAAGCTAAATTGTGGCCATCTGATTCAGCAGATGGAAGAAATGGATTTTGCATTTTCTTCCTGTTTTGCCAGCCAGGTAACCCCCGGTGGAGATAGGCACCTGTGAGAAGTATCACTGCTTCGTGGGTCAGGGGCTTGGACCCACCAGGGCTGTGTCACCTGCGGACCATGTGAACTCAAGTAAGTGATTTGAGCTTCTGTGAGTCTCTGTTTCTACATTGGCAACACAGTGTGATTAATTGCCCAAGCCTCTGTCTTTGGCCATGACAGTTACATGAGATACTTTGAGGGAAGCTGTACAGTTACTGGCACGTATAGAACTTCCTCATCCAGTGATTCCCTGTACTCACTCCCCTTGTCCCTGCTCTGAAAGTGATGCATACAGAAAGGAGAATGACTCCCCAGCCACTGTGTCCATGGGTGTCAAAATGAGGTTGTCACAGGGATTCAAACAGACCCTTGTACTCTAGTGTTCACAGCAGCACTATTCATAAGAGCCAAAAGGTGAAATCAACCCAAGTGTTCATCAACCCGTGAATGGATAAACAAAATGTGGTTTATCTGTGGAATATTACTTAGTCATGAAAAGGAATGAAGCATTGACAGGTGCTACAACGTGGATGAACCTTGAAGACCTTATGCTGAGTGAAAGAAGCCAGACACAGACGGCCACATATCATATGATTCCGTTTATATGTGATGTCCAGAATAGGCAAATCCACAGAGACAGAAGAGATTAGTGGTTGCCAGAACCCGGAGAGGATGGGGGAATTGAGGGGTGACAGGGAGTATGGGGTTTCTTTTGGGGCTGACAAAAATGTTCTAAAATTGATTGTAGTGATGGCTGCACAACTCTGAAGATATGAAAAATCATTGAATTGTGCACTTTAAATGGAGGCGTCGTATGTGGATGATATCTCAAAGCCATTACAAAACACACAAGACCATCTCCATCAAAATCACCTGGAGTTCTCATTTAAAATGCACTCCTGGCTGGGCACAGTGACTCACGCCTGTAATCCTAACATTTTGGGAGGCCAAAGCAGGAGGATTGCTTGAGCCCAGGAGTTTAAGCAGCCTGGGCAGCATAGTGAGCTTTCGTCTCTACACATAATTAAAAAACTAGCCAGACGTGGTGGTGCGCTTCTAGTCCTAGTTGTTCAGGAGGTTGGGGATGCAGTGAGCCATGTTTGTACCACCGCACTCCAGCCTGGGCAACAGAGTGAGATCTCATCTTAAAAAAGCCGGGCTCGGTGGCTCACACCTGTAATACTAGCACTTTGAGATGAGAGGCCACGGCAGGCGGATCACCTGAGGTCAGGGGTTTGAATCCAGCCTGGAAAACATGGAGAAACCCTGTCTCTACTAAAAATACAGGCACATGGTGGCGCGCGCCTGTAATCTCAGCTACTCAGGAGGCTGAGGCAGGAGAATCGTTTGAACCTGGGAGGTGGAGGTTGCAGTGAGCTGAGATCACACCATCCTGGGCAACAGAGTGAGACTCCGTCTCAAAAAAAATAAAAGCATTCCTGTAATGGGTCCAGAATTACAGTTTGATAGAAGCAATAAGTTCTAGTATTTGATAGTAGGGAATCTGATAGTAAGTAGGGAATTATAGTTAACAGTAATTTATATTTCAAAATAGCTAGAAGAGAAAAATTGTTCCCAGTACAAAGAAAAAATGAGGTGACGCACATCCCAATTAACTTGATTGATCATGACACATTGTATACATATATCAAAATATCACAAGCCCCCAAAATATTTGCTACTATGATATATCAATAAAAATACAAGAAGTAAAAAATGCATTCCTGGGCCTCCTGAGATAGAACACCTGGACCTGAGAATCTGAATTTAAATAAGAACCAAGGTGATTGTATGCACACAGAACTTAAATCATCCTTTTAGGGTTGGGCCAATGGCTCATGCCTGTAATCCCAGTACTTTGGGAGGCTGAGGCAGACTGCTTGAGACCAGGAGTTCAAAACCAGCCTGGGTAACATAGCGAGGCCCTGTCTCTACAAAATATTTAAAACTTAGCCAGGCTTGGTGGTGTGTGCCTGTAATCCCAGCTACTCAGGAGGCTGGGGCAGGAGGATCGCTTGAGCCCAGGAGTTTGAGGCTGCAGAGAGCTGTGATCATGCCACTGCACTCCAGCCAGGGCAACAGAGCGAGACCCTGCCTCAAGAAAAAAGAAAAATCATCCCTGTAGGAAGACAGTCTGGTCAACGCTGTCTCCTTGGCACTGTATTTTTCCAAGTGCAAACCCAGCGTGTGTATTTATTTCCTGTTGCTGCTGCAACAAATTATTATACCAACTCAGTGGCTTATATAAACAAAAGCTCACGCCTGTAATCTCAGCACTTTGGGAGGCTGAGGCAGGTGGATCACCTGAGGTCAGGAGTTCAAGACCAGCCTGGGCAACATGGTGAAACCCTGCCTCTACTAAAAATACAAAAATAAGCTGGGCACGGTGCCACCTGCCTGTAATCCCAGCTACTTGGGAGGCTGAGGCAGGAGAATCGCTTGAGCCTGGGAGGCAGAGGTTGCAGTAAGCCAAGATTGCACCATTGCACTCCAGCCTGGGGAACAGCGAGATTCTGTCTCAAAAAAAAAAATGATGATCTTATGGTTCTGGAGGTCAGAAGTCCAAAATGGGTCTTGCTGGGTTAAGATCAAGGTGTCAGTGGGGCTGTGTTCCTTCCAGAGGCTCCAGAGGAGAATGTGTTTTCTTGTATTTTCCAGTTTAGAGCCCGCCTAGCTTCCTTGGTGCCCTTCCTTCATCTTCAAACAGCAATGGCCGATTGAGTCTTTCTCATATCATGTCACTCTTGGCTCTGACCCTCCTGCCTTCCTCTTTGATTTGGTTTGGTTTGGTTTTGGTTTGAGCCAGGATCTCACTCTGTCACCCAGGCTGGAGTGCAGTGGCATGATTATGGCTTACTGCAGCCTCCGCCTCCCAGACTTAGGTGATCCTCCCACCTCAGGCTCCTGAGTAGCTGGGACGACAGGCATGCAATACCAATACCCGGCTAATTGTTTTGAATTTTTTGTACGTATGGGGTTTCACCATGTTGCCCAGGTTGGTCTCGAACTTCTGGACTCAAGCCATCTGCCCTCCTCAGCCCCGCAAAGTGTTGGGATTACAGGCACGAGTCACCGAGCCCAGCCTGCCTTCCTCTTTCACATATAAAGACTCTTGTGATTATATTGGGCCCACCCAGATAATCCAGGGTAATCTCCCCCATCTCAGGGTCAGCTGATTAGCAACCTTCATTCCATCTGCTCCTTTAATTCCCTCTTGCCATGTAACCTAACATATTCACCCATTCCAGGGATTAGGACGTGGGCGTCTTTGGGGGCCACATTCTGCCTACCACACAGTCCTCTCTAATGGTGTAGGATGCCTCTCTCCAAATCACAAATGATGAATAAATAAAAGCATCTCTACCCAGGGCTGTTGCATTTCTACCTGAGAAGAGGTCCTAGCAGAGTCTTCCAAATGCTGATTATTCCTGTCTTCTTCAACAGCTCCCACCCCCCGGCCCCTGCCCAGCCTCCCCTACCAGGCTCGATGTAAAGTGATGGTGAAGTGAAAACAGATTTGGGGCCCTTGCCACCTCTTTCTGGTTGGTAACTTTGTTTCTTGGACAACAATGCAGAGTTTGAAGCCCATCCAGGGACAACATTCCATCTGCCCCCTGCAAGTTCCGGTAATTGGTCACTATTTATAATTATATAAATAATAGAAAAACAAGCTTAAGCTGCCCTCCCCAAAAACCCAGTCTCCTCCTATTTTTAGGCAGCCAGCCTGCCCTCCTGTAGGGCAGCGTCCCTCTGAGGTCTGGGCCACTCAGCTCCAGCCATGGGCTGAAGCAATGATGCTGGTGACAGCAGTGATTCTGCCACCCAGGAAGGGGCCAGGGGTGATTTTCTAACTCAAGGTTGAGTTTAAAGCTCTCAGAGAATGAAGAGAAGGAACTATTCTAAAGCCCCCTTGCTGCGATCATTCTCCCAAGACCAAATCTGATTCTGTAAGAACTGGGAGCTGGACAGAGATTCGAGTCTGAGTTTCATTGATGTGTCTCACTGGGAGTCACGGGACCGGGAGAGACGGGAGGCTAGAAGAGACAGGAGAGTCAGGCTGGCTATAAAGTCCTTGATGTCCAACTACCACCCCCCTGCCAAAAAAAAAGGAACAGACAGTTGGGAAGGGTGTGCTCTATGCCAGCCATTTCACCCTTGTTCCGACTCTTCAAAGATGGGATTGTGGGGCCTATTATACCGATGAAGACATTGAGGTTTGGAGTTGCAATATAACCAACCCAATGGTACACAGCCAGGGAGTGGGCAGAGCCAGGATTCAACTCAGATCTGAATCGATCTCCTATAGCATGCCCACGGCTATGGGGGAAGATCAGGGTGCCTCGGGAAAAAAGATTGTTCAAAAGAAAATCAAAACGATAACTTTAATTTCAAAATGCAAATTGCGGGTGAATCTCTGATCCCATTGACACGAAAACCAAGAGACCACGACATATGAAACCAGCCTAAGGAGCCTGAATGATCTTATGAGAAAAAGCGTCTGTGTCAGAGCCAAATCACTGACGCAGGCCACCTGTGCGGTCTCCCTCTCCCTGGACCTACTTTATGAGAGCTTCACCACACATTGCTTGTTTGATGTGGTTTAGGTGCGGTCTTCGCTAAGAGGCCAAGCAAGATGATGTAATCACCTGATGAGTTCCTCCTGCCCACTGCACAGACAAAACCAATTCACTGAGACGACGGCATTGCAATAAAGAAAGAGCTTAATTGACACAAGGTTGGCCACTCCTGTCTCAAATCAAATCAATCTGAAAATTTGGAGGCTAGGGTTTTTAAAGGATACTTTGGTGGGCAGGGGGCTGGGGAATGGGGGCTGCTGATTGGTTGGGGATGCAATCACAGGGTTGTGGAAATTGGTCCTTGTGCACCAAGTCCACTTCTGGGCGGGCTCCCCAGGACCGGCTGAGCCAAGAGTTGAAGGTCTGGGTGGGGCCATCCGGTCATCAGAAATGCAGGTAAAGACATCTCAAAAGGCCAATCTTAGGTTCCACAATAGTGAATTGGGACAGTTGCAAATCTTGTATCCTCTGGAATAATGGCTGGTTGTCATTTAACTATGCCTGCGTCTTAGCGAAATTTAGGCCCCTCTCATCCTCCTAACCTGGTGGCCTTTCTTTTCTTTTCATTTTTTTTTAAGAAACAGGTTCTTACTCTGTCCCCCAGGCAGGAATGCAGTGGTGTGATCGTGGCTCACTGCAGCTTAAAACTCCTGGGCTCAAGTGATCCTCCCACTTCAGCCTCCTGAGTAGCTGGGACCAAAGGCAAATGACATCATGCACTGCTAATTTTTTTTTTTTTTTTTTTTTGTAGAGGCAGGGTCTCACTAAGTTGCCCAGGCTAGTCTTGAACTCCTGGCTCAAACGATCCTCCCACCCCAGCCTCTCAAAGTGCTGGGATTACAAGCTTAAGCCACTGTGGCCGGCCACCTGGTAGCCTTTCATTAGTTTTATGAAGGCGGCTTAGTTTTGGGGAAGGGCTATTCTCATTTAAACTATAAATTAAATTTCTCCCAAAGTTAGCTCGGCTCAAGTCCAGGAATGACCAAGGGCATTTTGAAAGTTAGAGGCAAGATGAGGGTTGGTGAGATCAGATCACTCTCGGTGTCATAACTTTCTGTTATAATTTTTGCAAAGGCGGGCTCAATGGTACTTGGAGTCCCCATAAATCTCTTGGTCAGTGGCCCAAATGCTAAGACAAATGTCGTGTTACTCCTAGAACATTACCATGCCTTGGGAGTTACCCCAAGCTAAACCATTAGAAGGGGCAGGTGAATTACAGAAACTGCTATTCAGACACCTTCGAGTCTATGCTCTGATTCTGGTTTACAATCCTTTGGGAACATCTTGGTTTTTCTATCAATAAAATGCGGATGTGCTGGGTGCCTCTCCTCCGGGCCCCTGCAGTGACTGGTACCGGCTAGCATACCATGATGTTCTGTTCACATCTCTTTCCTTGCAGACTTTGGGATCCCTGAGGTCAGGGACTGTCTCCTTCACTGTAGTGTCCAAACTCCTGGCACTCAATAGTGAATGCATGAACAAATAAACGAACATATGACAGTCAACTGGGTAGTAGTTTCCTGGTCTTGACTGGCTTGCAAGAGCAAATGGTTAAATATTCAGGGATTTTAAGCTGGGCATGGTGGCGCATGCCTGTATTTGCAGCTACCTGGAAAGCTGAGGCAGGAGGATCCTCTGAGCCCAGGAGTTCGACGCTAGCCTGAGCAACATAGTGAGACCCCATATCTAAAAAAACAAAATTCAGGGATTTTGCAAGCCTATTGTTAAATTATCAGTAACTTGAAATTGACTATGGCACGAGTATTTACACACAGAAATTGGCAACTGCTACAGATTAGGACTTCTGCCCCTCCTGCCCTTTTCAGAGAACTTGTTTACCAGCTCACCACTGGCTAGCACTTACGGTGTCAGGCAGTTTTAAGCACCTTCTCTATATGAATCTGCATTTAACCCTTACAATGTTACATATATGAATCTGCATTTAACCCTCACAATCACCTTACATGTATGAATCACCTTACATATATGAATCTGCATTTAACCCTCACAATGTTACATATATGAATCTGCATTTAACCTTCACAGTCACCTTACATGTATGATCACCTTACATATATGAATCTGCATTTAACCTTCACAATCACCTTACATGTATGAATCACCTTACATATATGAATCTGCATTTAACCCTCACAATCACCTTACATGTATGAATCACCTGACATATATGAATCTGCATTTAACCTTCACAATCACCTTACATGTATGAATCACCTTACATATATGAATCTGCATTTAACCCTCACAATCACCTTACATGTATGAATCACCTTACATATATGAATCTGCATTTAACCCTCACAATCACCTTACATGTATGAATCACCTTACATATATGAATCTGTATTTAACCGTCACAATCACCTTACATGTATGAATCACCTTACATATATGAATCTGCATTTAACCCTCACAATCACCTTACATGTATGAATCACCTGACATATATGAATCTGCATTTAACCCTCACAATGTTACATATATGAATCTGCATTTAACCTTCACAGTCACCTTACATGTATGATCACCTTACATATATGAATCTGCATTTAACCTTCACAATCACCTTACATGTGTGAATCACCTTACATATATGAATCTGCATTTAACCCTCACAATCACCTTACATGTATGAATCACCTGACATATATGAATCTGCATTTAACCTTCACAATCACCTTACATGTATGAATCACCTTACATATATGAATCTGCATTTAACCCTCACAATCACCTTACATGTATGAATCACCTTACATATATGAATCTGCATTTAACCCTCACAATCACCTTACATGTATGAATCACCTTACATATATGAATCTGTATTTAACCTTCACAATCACCTTACATGTATGAATCACCTTACATATATGAATCTGCATTTAACCCTCACAATCACCTTACATGTATGAATCACCTTACATATATGAATCTGCATTTAACCTTCACAATCACCTCACATGTATGAATCACCTTACATATATGAATCTGCATTTAACCCTCACAATGTAATTGCCACTTTGCAGATGGGGAAACTGAGGATGAGAGAGGTTAACTTGCCCAAGTATGGTTTCATAGCCCTCCATGACAGGAAGGTGGGAGAGCCAAATGAAGACCATCCTGGCCATCTCTGGGCTCAGCTGCTCTTTGCGGCTTGACAGGGACCAGCTATATGAATTGCGGTCACCACTTTTAATCAGCTCCTCCAGGAGGAGGTCCTCTGGGAGAAAAGACGCAGTTGCCTGGTGACTAAAGTGTTTCCCAGTCCTCCAAAAGTCATGCTGTGTTATTGGGGGGGATAAAGCTTGCCCCCCAGCAGGGTGCCCCTCTTCCAGGGCTCTAGACAAAAAATCCAATGAGCCCTGGCCAGACCCCATGCAAAGCTGCAGACCTCATTCTTGCTTCTTGCTTTGTTGACGCCTGCAGAGCCATTGGTAGGTTTGAATGAAAGCCATGACGTCCCGGAACAGGCAGCAGCTGGCTTTGCGTGGAGGGCGCCTTGCGGTGTGCACATCATTGCCAGAGGAGGGCAGAGCCCGGGCAGATGGTGGGTGCCACTGCAGGGGCCCCCACAGAGACATCTGTCCACCAAGAATTTGGCTTTGCTGTATCCCTTCGGGACCACAGTTGGGGACAGTCCTGGACTTCCTGAAGCTCAGCTTTAGGGATGACAGAGTCTCTCCAGGGGCCCATTCTGGTTTGAACATTCCATCTCTCTGTGGGCTCCATCACGTCAGCCCTTGTTTACCCATCTGCTTTGTCACTGCCCGTGTGTCTGTCTCCTCACCCCACCAGGAGTTCTTCAGGAGCGAAGGTGGCATCTTATTCCTGGCTGTGGCTCCAGGACCTAGCAAGAGCCCTGAACATAGTAGGTGCTCAATAAATGTGCAATGAATAAATGATTGAACGAATGCATAAATTGTGCCTTGGTTTTTTCTGCCTTCGTGCTGCTCCAAGGATCTCCTGATTACTTCTCCAAGCCCTGCTATTAGGAATAAATCCTCCTCTGTCATCCTCAGCAAGACTTCCCGCCTCCCAGCTCCCTGCTGACTGGTGGTGGTGGCTTGTTTGGCTGTGGACCCAGGAGAGGGGATGAGGACTCTGAGAAGGCCTCCCTGAGGATGTGAGTTTCCACTGAGGTCTGAAGAGGAAGCGGGAGTGCAAGAGAGTTTCAGGCAAAAGGAACAAGTACAAGTGCTTGTCTAGTAGCTAACAGCGGTCAGTGGGTCAGGGTAGACAGGTGATCGGGTAGGACAGACTCCCTTCATACTAGATACCAGGGGCTTCCTTGAGATCACCAAGGGACAATGTGAAGCCATGTGCCCTTCTCCTTGTCCCAGGGCTTTTGTCCCCACCAGAGCAACTGTGCCAAGCAGGAGGGGCTGATGTCCAGAGAATGCCACTTCCTATCCCCCACATCAGACAGTTCCATCATTTAATCCTTGACTAGTTTAATATAATAAAATTCCAGGAACTGACATTTTAAGTTGGAATAAAATTGCTCCCAGCAGCTGTACGTAATGGGCTGGCTCAGCGGCTCAGAACTCCCAGGGGTATTGGGGATCCTTTCCTGATCCCAGAGGCCTGCCTGTTTCCAGAATCCTTTAAACCAAAATGCAGTCCCTAGGTCAGCTGTCCTGCCGGCTCAGATCAGCTGATGACCCACAGCCAACATCTTTCCACCTTGATCAGGTCTTGCACTGCCCTCTGGAGAGTGCTTTAAAATGCAGATTGCAGGTGCTGCCTTAGCTCTACGAGTGCAGACAGGCAGTGGAAGAGGAAGCTGGATTTTCCATTTTAGAGACAGGGTCTCGTTCTGTTGCCTGGGCTGGAGTGCAGTGGTGCAATCAGAGCTCACTGCAGCCTCTAACTCCTGAGCTCAAGCGATCCTTCTGCCTCATCCTCCCAAGTAGCTGGGACTTCAGACGCACACCATTGTGCCCAGCTCATTTTTAAAAAGTTTTAATTGCTGGTAGAGCTGGGGTCTTGCTATGTTGCCCAGGCTGGTCTCAAACTCCTGGGCTCAATCCTCCTGTCTCAGCCTCCCAAAGTGGTGAGATTACAGACATGAGCCACTGCACCTGGCCAAAAGCTGGATTTGCAACCAGGAAGGGGCTGATTCTGATGCTCTAGGAGGTTTTAGGACCAACTCCCACCCTCTACCTCGGGCTCTGAAAGTCACCTCCTGCCCCTGGAAAGGGCTGTGACCCTTGGCTTGAGCCTGTAGTCTGCAGGAATGAACAGCAGTTCTCAGCAGCCCCCTTCCCAGCAGCCTGTGAAACTGATGGAGGTAGGTCCACCCGAGTCCCCTCTGTGGGCACCGAAAAACTCCTGCCCCCTACCCTGTCCCCCTTCCTCCCCAACATTTATCATCGAGACTAACGTTCAGAACAGACCTGATACCTGACGGTCATTGATGGTGGTGTCACTAAGCACTGCAGAGCCTTCAGGAGAGCCTTGACCTTGATGTTCTGCCCTGGCTGTGTGCCTCTCCAGGGGACAAGATTCCATAGCGCCCACCAGCCTCTGTGGCCATGTGCTGTGTCCACGCCAGGCCCTCTGGTGGACATCTCATTAACTTATCCTTATTTTAAGGAGGAGGAATCACATTACACAGGCAACAGCATCGGCCCCAGTCACCCCAACTGGATGGAGAGCCAACCCCTCAAGCCATCTTAACCCAGAACTTCCCTAATGGGCATGGGGACCACCGGCATTGCCTTCTCTCCAGCAGTTTGTCCCAAATGCAGCCTCCTGGGCCCACTTCTGCAGTTGTTTTTTTGTTTGTTTGTTTTTTGAGACAGAGTCTTGCTCTGTCGCCCAGGCTGGAGTGCAGTGGCAAGATCTCAGCTCACTGCAACCTCTGCCTCCCAGGTGCAAGTGATTCTCCTGCCTCAGCCTCCGGAGTAGCTGGGATTACAGGCATGTGCCACCGCGCCTGGCTAATTTTTGTGTTTTTAGTAGAGACGGGGTTTCACCATGTTGGCCAGGCTGGTCTCGAACTCATGAGCTCAAGTGATCCGCCCGCCTTGGCCTCCCAAAGTGCTGGGATTACAGGCGTGAGCCATGCGCCCAGCCCGCTCCTGCAGTTTGAGGTGCCTCTCAGCCACCGGGCTGTGCAGGGCCCACACGGGCCGCCACGTGGGTGTGTTCACCTCAGAAGGTGCTGGGGCTTTCCTGGAAAAAACCAAAGCGCATGGTGCATTTTCAAATAGGATTATTATTACTGTTGTTCTCCATAGAGCTATTTCATGCTCGCTGACTTCCTTGACTATCTCAGTGGAGTTTCCCTCCTAAGATCTGGAGGATGTAAGGTGGGATGGGTTGGGAGTGGGCATAGCACCTCCCAGGGGTCCCACCCCTCCTACCCACGCCCCCAAATTTGCTCACACCTGCTTCCTTCCAGATCCAGCAGGTGTGCGGAAGGGACGAGGTACGTGAGCACTGCTGCACGAACGGGGACTCCAGAGCGGTGGGCTCCGGGGTCCCCTTCCCGGCGGTTTCCGGGCCGGGGCGGGGCGGGGCGCTCCCCTAGCCGCGCAGTGCGCGAAACCGGCGTGCGCTAGGACCGCGGCGCGCCGCCCTCCGCCGTTATATGAGGCCCCGCTCCGGCCCCACGCGGAACCCGCGGCTCCGAGCCTTCGCCGGCGTCCCGACCCGAGGCCGGACCCGAGGCCAGTCCCGCCGCTGCGCAGCCGAAGCCAGTGCGGGGCCTGAGAGGGACGCGCGCCCCGGGGCCCCCGCCGCGGGCACCATGGGCGCTGCCCACTCCGCGTCTGAGGAGGTGCGGGAGCTCGAGGGCAAGACCGGCTGTGAGTACCCGCGGGGGGCGGCGCGGGGACCGGGGCGGGACCTCCGAACGGCCACTGTTGGGGACCCCGGCCCGCCGCCGCGCTGTGTGACCTTGGGCCAGTGGCGGGCCCTCTCTGCGCCTCAGTCTCCTCCTCTTTCAAATGGGTCCCCGCTGGCCACCTCGCGGGCTGCGGCGAGGAGCTCCGCGGCGATGCTCAGTGCCGCAGCCGCTCAGCTTCGGACTGGCCCGGGAACTCCCTGGCCGGGGGACTGCGGACCGGGGAGGGAGCGGGGCCCAGGCTTCCCAAGCGCAGGGCAGGTGCCTCAGGCCGGGCGGGCAAGTCCCTCAGGCACCCCCGCTGGCGCGCGCGCCCCACACCTGAGAGTCGTTTGCATTCGTGAGCGCGAGAGCGGAAAGTTTTGAAGTCGGCGGACCTGGGTGGGAACAGGTCTCCGACGCTCCCCGGCCGGGTGACCTTAGTCGGGAGAGCCGGCGCCCGGCGCCTGCTTTCGTCCTCGCATCTGTAAAATGGGTTCAGGCAGCCTCATCCCCGCGGGTGGCTGGGAGACTTAGCGAGGCAGCGGCCGCAGAGCACTTTGCCCGGAGCCCAGCGTCCTCCCCTGAGTTCGCTGAGTCTCCCGGGACCAGCAAAGGCTGCGCGCCCCGCATCGGCCCGGAGGCGGGGAGCCCTGGGAGGCCTGGCCGAGCTGCCCGCAGGGAAATGGCGGAGAAAGCGCTTCTCTGCCCGAGTTCAGCCGGGCTGGGGACTTGGCCCTGGGTCCTGAACTCGGCATGGCCAGTTCTGCCTCTGGCTGTGGACCAGGGTGTGGACTGGAGACCGCGGGGGCCAGGTGTGTGGGCAAACCGGCTTTGGCGAGCGACAGACCGGCTGTGAACCCTGCCAGCTGCACTTCCTGGCTGTGTGACCTTGGGCTAGTCACTTTACCTCTCTGATTCTCAGCTTTCCTTCTCTGTTGTAAGAGTTCTCCTAGTACCTGGTAGACGCTCAGGAAATGGGAGCTGCAGATATTTTGGGAAAGAGCTAGCTCCTGGCACCTGCTTCAAGTGCAGAGAACCAGCGTCCAGTATTGATCACCAAGAGAGGGTGGCCCAGCTGTTTGTGTGTCAGCTGAAAAGCAACCCCTCTTGACCCCCAATCTAAATACCCCTTTCCAGGAGAACTGGATGAAAATTGCAGAAAACCATTAATAACTGGTGTGTGTATGCACGCACTTATACGTCTATATCTGTATCTCTGTGTGTGTAGAGATATAGAAATATCCAACTAAAGAAGTAAAAGGTGTGGCTCAGCATATATAATATGGTACCCTTTTTTCTGTTTTTTAAAAAAGGATCCTTTGAGCTGGAGCCGCAAAGTAAAAAGAAATAGAAAATGTAAAAAGAGGGGAAAATAAGAGTATACATTTGTAATTGCTATATTTGCAGACTGGAAGAATCCACCAGAAAGTACGAATGGATGCTTGGTGGGGGTTGCGGGGGGAGTGGAAGGGATGAAGGGAGAGTGAGCTTTTTCTCCGTAAACGTTTTTATATGTTCATTTTGAACTATGTTGGATATTTTACTTACTCAAAAAGTTTTATGCACTTCAATCCGAAGACTAATATGAGAGAGAAAGGAGGGATTCCTCTAGCTCTTACTTGCTTGGGTCTCCTCTGCTTTTATTATTTCTCATGTGCCCTCTCCTCGCCTCCCACTGCTTTGAATCTGGATGGGTGTCGATGGGCATTCTCTGTGGCTGGGATCCCCGTTGGAAGGGTGGGCTCTCCGGCAGCCCACGGGGCACTCGGGAATTCCACCTGGTTGTGGGTTTGACAGGGAGGAGGGGCTGCAGAGCATGCTGGGAGTCTTGTCAGTTTCCTGGGTCCAGCCTCCCACTGGGATGACAGATGCTGTGTTCCTGCTCTGTAACCTTCCTAGATGTAGCTGCAGCGGCTTCCCTTCTTGCTGCCCAGAGCTCAGACTTCATAACCCAAGGGAGATGGAGAGGGTCGGAGAGGAGGTTCTGAGGTTAGACTAGAGTAGGCAGGTGGAACTTTAGGTAGGTGGAAAGTTGCCCCCAGTCCTCCGAAAGGGACTGCGTAATTCGGTCACTTTTGCCCACTTAGCAAATATTTATAGACCAGGGGCTGGGGATTTAGAGATGACTCGGAGAGGCTGCTGTTCCTGGAGGGGGACACACAGTAAACAAAACGCCCGACAGGTGTTAAACTGTGAACGAGGCATAGCAGGGTGGCATGAGAATGGAGCTTTAGGGTGGATCCGGAGGTCCTCCCTGAGGAGGTGATAATGGAACAGAAATCCAAGTAAGAATGAGCCAGGGGTGTGCAAATCAGTGGAAAGGGCATCTCGGGCCGAGGGGACGTCGAATGCAGAGGCCCTGTGGCAGGGACAAGCCAGCAACAGTAAATAAGAATGCATGAGATGAGGACACAGCTGTCGTCAGGGCTCAGGCTGTGGCAGGAGCCTGGCTTCAGGGGCCTTGCCAGGTACCTTGGGCAAGTCACTTATGCTCTCTGAGCCTCAGTTTTATCTACTATAAAATGGGCATAGTCATAGTACCTCCCTTGAAGTTGTTGGGAAGGATTGAGTTAATATACATGAAGTAGTTAGACCAAACACATGTACATGGTTTGTTATTGACCATGCTTTAAACACTCTTGTATGTCCTGGTCGCTCCGAGCCATAGCTGAGAGTTGAGTCTTGGTCCCACCTCTCTGAGCTACATGACCTTGGGCAAGTCATCTTACTTCTCTGAGCCTCAGTACCCCCACCTGGATCCTGAAGTCATTGTGTGGATTTGATAAGGTTACGTGCGAGACGATCGGCTTGGCATGGGAACGTCAGCTCCCAGAGACCCAGTGGGTCAGGCAGGGCCCTTCCTCCAAGGCCATTCCCTTGGGAATCTTCCCTGAGAAAAAGGGAGAAAAGCCTCAGGGTAAGGTGGCCAGAGGACAGACTGAGCCCACAGGGCTGCTGACTCCCCCGCCTCCCTGAGGACCAAGATGACCCCTGACTTTCTGGGGAGGAATCAGCTTGGTCCCTTTCTGAGAACACCATCCAGAAAGGACCAGAAGGTCAGGCTGAGGCTGGTGATAATGAACATAATTCCCCAAGCACCTGCTGAGCATCAGGCTCCACGCTGGTGCTCTCTGCATAACACTCTTTATAGTAATGATCCCCCAGGAAGGCAGTGTTAGGGCCATTTTACAGGTGAGGAAACTGAGGCTTAGAGAGGTAAACCAGCTTGCCTGCAGTCCCACAGCTGCTAAGTGGAGGAGTTGGAGATCATGGGATCCCCAAGCCTACTTTCTTTTTTTACAGTTTTTTTTAATTTTTAGTTTTTGAGGCAGGGTCTTGCTCTCTCACCCAGGCTGGAGTGCAAGGGGCATGATCAAGCTCACTGCAACCTCGAACTCCTGGGCTCCAGCGATCCTCCCACCTCAGCCTTCCCAGTAGCTATGACTGCAGGTGTGCGCCACCACACCAGCTAATTTTAAATTTTTCTGTAGAGACAGGGGTCTTGCCATGTTGATCAGACTAGTCTCAAATTCCTGGCCTCAAAGTGATCCTCCCACTTCAGCCTCTTGAAAGCGCTGGAGTTACAGGCATGAGCCACCATGCCTGGCCCCAAGACTGCTTTCTTACTGCCAGCATGCTTTCACTGTGTGTAGCTGCCACTTGAATTTCTAGGAACCAAGAAGGGATAGGAAAAGACTCCCGTATTTTTTCTCACCTTCAGGCCTTTGCACAAAAGCTGTTCCTCTGCCTGGAGCACTGTTTTCATTTGATGTGTACAATCAGGTGTTTACGTACGGGAGCCTTTCTCTGTCTCCACCCAGGGTAAGGTCTAGGCCGGGCGTGGTGGCTCACGCCTATAATCCCAGCACTTTGGGAGGCCAAGGCAGGTAGATCATGAGGTCAGGAGTTCAAGACCAGCCTGGCCAAGATAGTGAAACCCTGTCTCTACTAAAACTACAAAAATTAGCTGTGCGCGGTGGCAGACGCCTGTAATCCCAGCTACTCGGGAGGCTGAGGTCGGAGAATCGCTTGAACCTGGGTGGCGGAGGTTGCGGTGAGCTGAGAGCATGCCACTGTACTCCAGCCTGGGCGACAGAGTGAACTCCATCTCACAAAAAACAAAAACAAGAAAAAACAAACTCAAACCTTTCCTCTTAACCTTGTCTCTCTCTCTTTTTTTTTTTTTTTGAGATGAATTTTCACTCTTGTTGCCCAAGCTGGAGTGCAGTGGCGCGATCTCAGCTCACTGAAACCTCTGCCTCCTGGGTTCAAGCAATTCTCCTGCCTCAGCCTCGTGAGTAGCTGGGATTACAGGTGCCCGCCACCATGCTCGGCTAATTTTTGTATTTTTAGTAGAGACAGGGTTTCACCATGTCGGCCAGGCTGGTCTGAAACTCCTGACCTTAAGTGATCCGCCTGCCTCTGCCTCCCAAAGTGCTGGGATTACAGGTGTGAGCCACCGCGCACAGCGTTAACCCTGTCTCTTTATGAAACGAATGCTCATTATTGTTCAGGGGTTGGCTTACCTGCTGCTCCCATCCAGAAAGCCATCTCTCCATCCGACCTTTAAGGGTTAAACACCCATCCTCAGCGCTCCTGGAGCCCGCAATAGCAGGCATCACACCATGTTATACTTGTCAACTCTGTCACCTGCCACCCCTTCGAAACTTGGAGCTCCCTAGAGCAGAAAGAACGTGTCTTGTTCACCTTTGTATGCACTTGGTGGTTCAGTGAGAGCATAAGAGGCTCACGTTAAAGGGGCACAGTCCCTGGGGACTTTAAAACTCAAGGTGTATTGTTCAGGAACAGGCAGCCACTGGAAAACCCAGTGCCACCCTCACCAGCTGTCCTCGGCTGCCAACCCTCCCAGCATCTCCCCAGCCCCACCAAAAATATGCCTGAGCAGCAGCTTGCCACACAGGGCATCATCAGGTCTGCGTGCCCACCTTCCTTCTCCCTGCCTGTTAGAGTCTCATTGATTGATTTAAACCGGAAACGAGTATTCCCAGGAATCTTTTCTGAGCCAAGAAGGCTCACATCTAGATTGTTAAGATTCATATGAAAAGCCCGAGCGAAGGCGTCCCGGGGGTGTGATTGAGCTCACCTTCCCCACGCACCCGTGGTGACAGCAGCCAAGTGGTGTCTGGTGTGTGGACCGAGGTACAAAGTGGGACCTGACGGAGAGAAGGGCTTCTTGGGAATTATTCACCTGAGTCAGTTGTCCTTCACCACCTTGAGCTGGCCCCACTTCCTGTCCCCCCCATCCGTGTCTGCTCCTGGAGTTGGAAAGGAAATAATAAGACAGAGGATTCTGGGAAAGGTGGAGGGTCTGTTTTTTCCTTCAGGCTCCAAAACAGCTCTTCAGGCATGTCTATGTTGATGCCAAGAAGCTGCCAGAAGGAAAAGGAAAAAAAAAAAAAAAATCTCCAGACCTAGAGTTCAGACCTCATGATGGTAAGAGCTAATGTTTCTCGGGCGCGTGGCATCTGCCACACGTTCAGCTGAGCCAGGCAGCGTATCCGCAGTAGCTGATGGAATCCTCCCAGGAACACGGTTGGTTTCCCATTTTACAGATGCAGACATTGAGGCTCAAGAGAGGAGGTGCCTGCCCAAGGCCACAGGCATCATAATGAGAAGTAGAGTCGCAGGCTGGTGCGGTGGCTCATGCTTGTAATCCCAGCACTTTGGGAGGCCAAGGCAGGGGGTTCGCCTGAGCCCAGGAGTTGGTGCCACTGCACTCCAGCTTGGGTGACAGTGCGAGACTGTCTCCAAAGAAAAAAAGAGAGTCGGATTCCATTCCTGGTCTAATCTCATTTGGAGAAGGAGCTAGAGATGGCAGGGAGGACTGGCGTAGCCAAGCGTGGCTGGTGGGGGTGGCGCTGGTTTCTCCACTGCGTTCTCGCCCCTGGGTAATACTTCTTGGTTCTAAAGTCTTTAAGTGGCCTCAGACGGTGGCCTCGGCTCATTCACCAATTGCCATATTCTGCTACCAGGGTGGACCAGATGCGGTCCCTGCCCTCCAGAAGCTCAGGGGTTCCAGGGGGACAGGGGAGCACCCCAACAACTGTAGCATAGCGGGAGGAAGGGTCTGATGGGCCAGGGTGGACCAGC
Source organism: Homo sapiens (assembly GCF_000001405.40). Taxonomy (NCBI): domain Eukaryota; kingdom Metazoa; phylum Chordata; class Mammalia; order Primates; family Hominidae; genus Homo; species Homo sapiens. The sequence continues at coordinate 117,093,093 of NC_000012.12, read as the reverse complement.
CAGCTCCACACTGTTCTGTCGTCCGCCAAAGCTTGGTAAGCTGAACAGCCAACCAGCCAGTCCCCCGTGCCTTTTCTCTTCCTCTGGGCTAGGTTGTGGCTTTTCCCCTGGCATCTTCAGGGAGTCCATGAACCCCATGAAATAGGATGTGGAATTGTCTGAGTGCCTCTGGGGAGGGCCCTCTGCCCTTGTTAGGGTCTCTGAACAGTGAAGTGTTTTCCATTGTATGGAAATCATGCCTCAGTAAGAAAATGATTCAAACAATTACTTTTATTGATTGTTTAAAATTAATTTGTTTTTGAGATGGCCCTGCTCTGTTGCCCAGGCTGGAGCATAGTGGTGCAATCACAGTTCACTGCAGCCTCTAACTCCAAGGCTCAAGTGATCCTCCCACCTCAGGCTCCCTCCTCAGACAGTGGCTCCTCAGCAGAGGAGGAATGAATGTGTCCGTGAAACCAGGGGGAAGGACCAGTCCTGTATGCTGAGCTCTGGGGCGGGGGGAGACCCTGGCCTGGAGTCATCCACAAAGTGGTCCAGATCATGGGACCCCCCCAGCCTCTGGAACCCTTTCTGCCTTGACTGGATGGGGGCTTCCAGGCCTCCCCTGCCCTCCTCTCTGGGGGCTCACAGGGGAAACTTGCAGGAGAATGCCCGCTGTGGAAGCTTCCCACAGGGCTGGGGATCAACCAAAGGCACCTGCCTGCTCTAGCCCATGCTGGTATTTTTCATTCTGTTCACCTGGGCCCCATCATCTCACCATCTGTCGCAGCCACAGAGCGGGACCCTGGAGGATGGCGTTCCATGTGCACTGAGCTCGGTGCTGGAGCCGTCCTGTGCCACTTCGCTCAGATGTCTCATCCAGGCTGTGTCCTTCTTTGAGCCACCAGTTCCGCTCCTTAAAAAACGCAGCCAGCTGTGAATGAGGTGACAGCTGCTCTTTCTTGAGCACTTGTCAATCATCTGATCTGCCGAAAAGCCCTTTGAGGGTGGGACTATTGCTGCCAGTTTATAGATGGGCAAACTGAGGTTTGGACAGAGGAAATGACTGCCCAAGATCACTTAGTTGCTGGGTAGGGAATCCAGACTCAAAACCAGGCCTTCTAGTGGGATTTGCCAAGTGCAGTGCCGGGAGAAACCGCCTCTCCCGCATGCCGAGAACCCCACATGCTCTGGACTGAGACTCTGAGAGTCGGCACATCTGTGTGATCTGGGGGAGGCCATGCTGTTACCCCACAACCTCGTCAGTAGAGTTCCACACATTGTTTACCAAGTCGGCAAGGGGAGAACTGAACCTTGAGGCAGATAGGATTGGTTCTGGGTGATGTGGAAAGTTCTGGAATCTAGGTGGGTTGCCCCCAGGGAGAACAAGCTCAGTAGTGGGCAGTGGGAGGGGAGTGGGGACCACGGCTGGGAGGAAGAGGCAGGAGGGTGCCGCCCCCTCTGTTTCCTAGGGTCTCACTGGGTGGCTCAGGTCTGTTTCAAAAGAATTTGTGTTTTCTCTGTGCAAGCCACTGGCAGTCCTCTCCAAGACGTCCTCGCTCCGCAGATTGGTGGTAATTAGATCCCCGCTGCATCTTTCTTTCTTGCCTCCCCTACTGCCATCCTGGCAGGATATTTTTTTGTGAGTTAATGGTCTCCAGAATGTATCGTGGAAATTTAATCAACTCTCAGACATGCCATACGGCCCAGTAAGACAAACAGAATAACCTGGGTGTTGATAAGATGCTCTTCCCTTTGCAAAGCACTTTAGGATCTGTTATCTCGAGCTGAGGGAATGAGGTGTTTTCAGCTCAGAAGGGCTCACAGTTCTGGGAAGAAAACTCAGGGCCTCTTTTGTTCTTTTGTCCATGCTGGTGTGACTGTACAGGGTGAGGGCCTGGGCACCCCTGGTCCTGCCAGCCTTCCTGTTGCCTGCTCCAGCTTAATTATTAATTTATAAAACCAGAAGGTCGAGTGGGTGATTTCCGCTGGTGGTGGTGGCCACGGAGCACTAGGACAAAAAGGCTCTTTGTCGTCCCAGCAGTGTGACCTTTGCAGACCGGCACTCTGTCAGGAGCAAGCCTTCCGTTCTTGGCACTGCTCCCTGGCAGGTTAGTGGAGGTCTCAGGGCCCAGGTGCCTCCAGGAGGAGGGCAGGTGGCCAGGCCGGAGACAGCAGTCCTCAAAGGGGGGCTGTAGAGGCCAAAGGTGGGCTGCAGAGGCCAGCTTGCCCCAGGTGCTGAGGTTGGAAGAGGGTTCCCTAAGCTCCTCCTGAGCACCTGTGCCAGAATCCCAATGATCAGAGAACCCTGAGCAAATACCCAGCACTTTGCAGGCCTCACCCACCTGGTAGTTCTAAGGGGGTTCTTGCCCTTGCCTGCATCCCCCCAAGGACCTCAGCCAGAGTCCCACTATGGCACACAGGTGGCTTCTCACCACCTGTCCTTTTCCAGCAGATAGATGTGGGTTTATATCATGGTATTGCCTCTTACTGTCTAGGCAAAGCACTTTGCCTCCCTGAGCCTCAGTTTCTTCATCTGTAAAATGACAGCAAAAATAGAACCTGTTTCACTGAATGTTGCGAGGATTAAGTTAGAATTTGGGCAAAGCTCTTGACCCATCCTCAGTGCTTGAGAGTTACTGGCAGTTACTAATCATTTCAACTGGGAACACTTCAGGAGCTGGCTATGTATCTCCTTTTAAAAGGCATGCTATAACTTTTTTTAGTAATTCATTTCATTTTTTATATGTCTGCTATCTTGGACATGCCTAAACTTAATCACCATCTCTGCCCTTGTGCTCATAATTGGGGACCTTAATGTACTTTAATTTGTATCACTCCATAGTACTTAAGAACCTACATATTCATTATTATTCTATGCAGACACTATTAATTCTTGCAACCACTCTTCCTTATGGATATAGTTTTCTTATTTAATGCATGTTTCTGTAGATTTTTCAGTGAGGCTCTGTGAGTTGTAAACTTTGGAAATATTGTTATTTTGCAGGCATGCATGAATGAACATTTGGCTGTGTGTAAAATATAAGGTTGCTGGATTTTTTTTTTTTCAGCGATTCGTTTTTGGTCTTGTTGCTGTTGAGAAATCAGCTGTTAGTCTAATCGACATTTCTTTGTAGAAACCTATTTTCCCTTTTCCCTGTTTTAAAATTTTTGTCATTGGTGTTTTGTACATGCTATGTCTGGGTGTGGATTTATTTTTATTTATCCTGGGAATGGTTTATGTTGTTTGATTCTAAAGAAAGATCATATCTTCCATTATGAAAATATTATCTCTCCCCTTTCTCTTTATCTTCTTCATTAGTAATTCCTATTAGACAAATGTTGGTTCATCTCATTCTGTCTGCATGCCTCTTAATCTTTCTTTCATATTTTCTTTTTATTTCAGCTGGGTCATTTCCTTAGATCCATCTTCCAGTTCACTAATTCTCTCTTCAGCTATTACAACCTTGCTGCCTTAACCTATTAAATTTCAAAAAATTGCAATGACTTATAAAAAAAGTTTATAAGTGCTATATAGTTTTCAAATTCACCTCTTTTTCATAGGGTATGGTTCTTCCATTGTTTGTAATAATTTAAAGCCTACTATATAGTCTCTTCTGTTTTGCCTTCTTGGAGTGCTATTCCTTTTGTTAATTGTGTCTGCTGTTCTCCCTTATGGTGGTTCATTTGCTTGTATGGTTTGGTTTTTTGATTATAAGCTCATCTTTGGGCTTTTTCCCAACTCCCCTTGGCCCTTCCCCCTACCACCCCACAGGATTCCTGTGTGCCCTGGGTTTTAGAAGAGCCTTACACAGTGCATTTGCATTTCTTGTGCTAGGTGTCTCAAGCTTTTCACCAGTCTGAAAACACTTTTCACATTAACTCCTTGGTTTGGGTCTCCTGCCCCACAGAGACTTGGATTTTTCACCAGTGTGTGGCTCAGTCTTGGAGTTTGGATTCATTGCAGAAGCCTGCTCTTTCCCCTGCCGTCTCCCTAGCAGAGATGGCTGTCTTATTATTCTCTGGGCCAGTGGGGAACGTTTTTTCTGACCCACCTGATGTGCAGAGGCAGCCTTTTGTATTTCAGCTTTTTAGAGGGGTCTCAGCTCCAGTTCATGCAGACCCAAGGCCTCTTCTGTCACTCAGTGGACTTGAAGTCCCCACCCTTAGCTGTTGGAGCCTGAAACCATTCTAACACCTGGGCCACCTCAGCAGCATCTGTCACTAACCCTGCTGGTTCCTGGTCTCTTCCTTGCCCCTGGCACTTGGGTATTGCCCTTTCCTTCCATTTAGCTGGACATTACATTTGTTTCTTGTTTTATCCAGTGTTTGTAATGGAAGGTAGAATCTGTATTATATCCAAGTAGCAGGACCTGAAATTCCTGATCTAAGTGTCCTACTGAAGTAAGCCTTGTACATTTTTTTTTTTTTTTTGAGACAGAGTCTCACTCTGTCGCCCAGGCTGGGGTGCAGTGGCACAATCTCGGCTCACTGCCACCTCCGCCTCCCAGGTTCAAGTGATTCTTGTGCCTCAGCCTCCTGAGTAGCTGGGATTACAGGCATGCGCCGCCACGCCCAGCTAATTTTTGTATTTTTAGTAGAGACGGGGTTTTGCCATGTTGGCCAGGCTGGTCTCAAACTCCTGGCCTCCAGTGATGCACCCGCCTCAGTCTCCCAAAGCGCTGGGATTACAGGCATGAGCCACTGTGCCCGGCCAACCTTGTACTTTAGATAAGCCTGTTTATGCTTGATTTGGCCTCAGGATAAATCTGGAACTGAAGATAGTTCTGGAAGGCTGTGAAAACCTGTTTCTTAGATGCTCTGAAAGACACCCACTCGCCCACTCTCAAAATCTTTCCTGATTCACTGTTGCTTTTTTCCCCCTTCATCATCTTTAGTCTTTTTATTAAAATGGAGAAATTTTTCTCTAATTACATAAATGATATGTATTTATTGTTCCATCCCTCCTCAGTTTGGGCATACAGCCTAGCCAATGGCTATGCAAATAGAATCTAAAGTCATGGACCTCGGTCTAAATCCCAGTTCTGCTGCTCCTAGCTGTGTGACCTTCAGGGAGTGACTTAGCCTCTCTGAGACTCAGTTTCTTTATCTATAAAATGGGTGTGATTACCACCCTAAAAGGGAGGCATGGCCCTAAAGGGAGGCACCCTAAAAGCGAGGACTAACTAAGATAATTCCAGGCATTTGGCTGAGTCCTAGCCTCTGGGTAAATGTTAACACATGGTGGTTATTATATTATTATTTATTTATTGAGACAGAGTCTCGCTCTGTCACCCAAGCTGGAGTGCAGTGGTGCGATCTTGGCTCACTGCAACCTCCACCTCCCAGGTTCAAGCGATTCTCCTGCCTCAGCCTCCCAAGTAGCTGGGATGACAGACGTGCACCAGCACGCCCAGCTAAAGCACATGGTGGTTATTATTACTGCTATAAGGCGCATGGTAAAGAACAGAGCATAGCTGTAGGAAGGGAACATAGATGAGCGAAACAGACTGTGATTTTTAAAGTCACGAGCACCCACTCTGACAGCTTTCTCAGTTGCCTTATTGCTCATGAGAGAAGAGTAGATTCTAAAGTCAATTCACTCTGTCCCAGCTTCCCCTTCAGTCCTGAGAATTGGAGGATTCATTCAGGGTAGGAAAAAACCCGCAGAGATCCTAACAGGACCCTTGGTATCCGAGGTTGAAATAAACACTGCTGACGTGGGCCTGTGGCAGCTCTTACCAGGAATTCCTTGGCTTTCACACTTACAAAGTGGGTTGAAGTTGGCATGAAAAAGGGTATTAAGGTGCTGCATAAATGCCAGCAATTAATCTTCAAGCTGCTGCTGCTGCTGCTCTGAAGGACAGAATTGGGTTTGAGAGCTTCCTTCTCAAGGCCAAGTGCACCCAAATGCATCTTTGGTTAATTTTAACATCCCAGCAGCTAAGAGTGATCTATGGTGTATACGAGTTCAGCACATGGCATCCAAGGAAAAGGCAGGTGAAGGAGAGGAGCCAGCATCCAGCATCATGAAGTGCCCTGCGTGTGCCAGGCATGAGAGGGTAGTCCCCTGTGGAGTGGCCCCTGCAAGGCTAAGGAGGCTGTCCCTCCCTGCCTCCCTCCCAAGGCCCAGGGTTAGTCATTGTTTTGGCTGTAGCCGCAGGAGGCATGCAAGTTGCTGCGTCCCTGGTGAGCTTGAATCCAGCTGAACAGCCATGATGGTATCACAGGATTACTTAGGGAACAATAATAACAGTCCCAGCAACCCCAGCGTCTCCTGCATCTCCTACGTCTCCTACCAGATCCTGTGCTAAGGGTGTGCATGATCTCTTTAAAAATTGATGCAAAATTCATGTAATATAAAATTTACCATTTTAGGTTGGGCGCTGTGGCTCACACCTGTAATCTCAGCACTTTGGGAGGCTGAGGTGGAAGGATCACTTGAGGCCAGGAGTTCGAGACCAGCCTGGGCAACATAGCAAGACCCTGTCTCTACAAAAGAAAAATTAAAAAAATTAGCTGGGTGCTGTGGTGTGCACCTGTAGTCCCAGCTACTCGGGAGGCTGAGGCAGGGAGGATCACTTGAGTCCAGGAGTTTGAGGCTGCTGTGAGCTGTGATCGTGCCACTGCACTCCATCCACCTGGGTGACAGAGCGAGAGACCCTGTCTCAAAAAAAAGTTAACATTGTAACCATTTTAAAGTATACAGTTCAGGCCAGGAGCAGTGGCTCATGCTTGTAATCCCAGCACTTTGGGAGGCCGAGGTGGGCAGATCACTTGAGGTCAGCAGTTTGAGACCAGCCTGGCCAACATGGTGAAACCCCATCCCTATTAAAAAAAAAAAAATTAAAGTGTATAATTCATTGGCATTAAGTACATTCACAATGATTTGAAAACATCACCGTATCTATTTCTAGAGCATTTTCATCGCCCTCCAAAAAACCTCATACCCATTAGCAGTCACTCCCCATTTCCTCCTCTCCCAGCCCCTGGCGACCACTAATCTGTGTTCTGCCTGTGTGGATCTGCCTGTCTGGGGCATTTCATGTAAATAGCATCCTGCAGTAGGCTGGCCTTGTATATCTAGTGTTATCCCTTCTTGGAGTATGACAGGGCTGCCTCCTTTTGTATTGCTTTATAACATCTCATCACCTGGATATACCCATTTTGTTTTTGCACTCACCAGTTGTTGGACATTGAGTAGTTGCCATGTTGGTGGTTGTGATTGTGAATAGCTTGTGGTGGTTTTTCATGACATGAACAACCTCACAAGGGAGGACATCCCGTTGTCACCTCTGTATCACGGAGGAGGAAGCAGCCTCATGAGTTCAGGGTGACAGCTGAGTGGGATGCATAGCAGAGACTCACAGCAGCCTCCCCCGGCAGCACTGTCAGGAGCTCACCTTTCCATCCAGCCTGGCTCACCTCTGTATTCCGGGATTTCCCCAGTGTTTGGGTTGAGTCCTGGCCAATCTTTCAAGAGGTGGCAAGCAGGAGAGAGCTGGGGTCTTGGAAGTCACTGAGCCCCCCAGTGATGCCCCTTGGTGTCCTGGGGCTGGCATCCAGGCTGGCACAGCTGGTGGGGCCAGTGGGAGGCAGGGTGGCTTGGGGAGTCCCTGGGGCACGGGAGAAGGCTCTCAGCTGTGCTTGCTTCTTCCAGTGGGGCCTTGCCCTGAGCCCTTCCACCTTCTGCCTTCCCGACCCTCACCCTGGGCGGCTGCACCTGCTGTCTCTCAGTCTCATCCACACCCACGCTGTCTATTGCCGGGCACTTCAGATCTCGTTCCCTGGCTTGGTGTCCTCTGTAGACTCAGGGCAAGTCCAAATGTCCTGGACTGATAGATGAGGCCTTCACGCCCCCACCACCCCAGCTGCTTCATTCCCTGCCTGTTTTCTACCCACACTGAAGAGCCCGAGGCTCCCTGAGCCCTGTGTGTTCTGCCTCTGCCAAGGCTATGCCTTCTGCCAGCCCTGTCCACCCCACCCCCAGAACCCCATTGGGCATCACCTCCTGCTCCCATCCCCGTGGCCTAGAACCTCCGCTGCAACCCTGGTGCCCCTTGGCCAGCTGAAGCAGCGTTTACTGTCCTGGATCCTGGCGAGGGGATGTGCATTTCTAGCAGAGTGGGGCTGCGCTTTTTGCATCTGCTTTCCTGGCCTCTAGCAAGCACCTAGCAAACCAGAGGTGCTCAGAGGGCCATGCAAGCACAGGTGGGGCCTTGGGGGTGCCCCTCAGGGCCCACACACTCCTGGGGGCCAGCAGGGGTTGTGGGAAGAGGAGGCAGTGGTGTGCATGCCCCTCATCTGGGTCCTGGGACTACAGGCTCACAGAGTCCTGGTGCCCCAAAATGGATGGGAGCGCATGCTGACATTCTCTTTCCTCCTGAGTCAGGGGAGGGAGGCTGGACTCCAGGGTGGATTTCAGGCCTGCTCCTCTGCTCCTGGGCCCCTCCCATCCTCCCTGTTCTGGACCATTGTCCTTGACCCCCTACCCTGTGTGGCTCTCCTCCCACTGGTGATGCCTTGCTCAGCACAGCAGGGCTGCAAGCAGGTCCCCACAGCCTGATGGGGGAGGCCAGGGCCAGGCAGGCAATGCGCTTACCCCAGCATTCAGAACCCTTTGCAGTCGATTGCCAATATTTTTTAACCCAGCGGATTTCTGCCTCCTCTTAATGAAAGGGGAAAATCTGGCCTCCCATGGCAGCAACTGGCTGGAGGGAACGGTGGCAGCCCCTTCGACAGGGTGGGACTCCAGTTCATGCCTGCACGGGCCCCTTCTCTCACTTCATGCCTTTCTGACCCTGGAGACACTGAAATTCTCAACCCCACCTTGACAGCATCTGAGGAAGGAATTGGCTTCTATTGCCCCTTCATCCCCAAGGTTAAACAGTTTTTACATTGACACCTAATTCACAGCTGATGACATTTACCATTTAAAAGTGTACAGTTCAGTGGCTTTTAGTATATTCACAAAGTTATACAAACATCACCACTGTCTAATTCTTTTTTTTTTTTTTTTTTGAGATGGAGTCTTGCTCTGCCACCCAGGCTGGAGTTCAGTGGTGCTATCTCAGCTCACTGCAACCTCCGCCTCCTGGGTTCAAACGATTCTCCTGCGTCAGCCTCCCCAGAAGCTGGGACTACAGGTGCGTGTCAACACATTTGGCTAATTTTTGTATTTTCAGTAGAGATGGGGTCTCATGTTAGCCTAGCTGGTCTTGAATTTCTGACCTCAAATGATCTACCCGCCTCAGCCTCCCAAAGTGCTGGGATTACAGGTGTGAGCCACAGTGCCTGGCCACCACTACCTAATTGTAGAACAACTTATCACCCCCAAAAGGATACCCACTGGCAGTCACTTCTCATTCCCTCAACACCCTCCAGCCCCTGGCAACCATCAATCTACTTCATTTCTCACTAGATTTGCCTGTTCAGGGCACTTCGTGTAAATGGGATCATACACCGTGTGGCCTTGTATGTCTGGCTTCTTTCACATCGTGTGATTATTTCAAGGTTTATCCATGCTGTAGCATTTACCAATGCTTCATTTCTTTTTTTGCTGAATAATGTTCTGTCATCTGGATGTGCCACATTTTGTTCACCCATTCCTTTGTTGATGGACGTTTGGATTGTTTCCACCTCTTGGCACTTATGAACAGTGCTGCTTTGAACATTGGTTACAGGTTTCTGGTGTGGACGAACATTTTCTTTTATCTCGGGTATAAATGGAATTGTTGGCTGGGCGCAGTGGCTCACGCCTGTAATTCCAGCACTTTGCGAGGCCAAGGTGGGTGGATCACCTCAGATCAGGAGTTCAAGGCCAGCACAGCTAAAACGGTGAAACCCCATCTCTACTAAAAATATAGAAATTAGCCAAGCGTGGTGGCACATGCCACCCAGTGCGGGGAGGCTGAGGCAGGAGAATCACTTGAACTCAGGAGGCAGAGATTGCAGTGAGCTAAGGTTGTGCCACTGTACTCCAGCCTGGGTGACACAGCAAGACTCTGTTTCAAAAAAAAAAAAAATTGTTTTGGAGTAGAATTGCTGGATTACATGGTAATTCTGTGTTTAATTGATTGAGGAACTACCAAACTGTTTTCCACGGTGGTTGTACCATTTAAATCCTCGCTAGTAATGTATGAGAGTTTCAGTTTCTCTATAGCCTCATCAACATCTATTATTTCTTTTATTTATCATTATAGTCATCATGGTTAAAAAAATTTTAACCCAAATACAATTATACAAGTAATCTCCGTAAATTGCAGAAAAGTTAAGGGACAGATAACCAAATTTAGGGTCAAAGGGAGGAGGAGAAAAATGTTCTGTAATTCTACCATCTGAAAACAACTGACTACTATTATTTTGTTGTATACCCTTTTCTATTTTTTCTTGTGCACATGTGTATATCAATATGAACTTTCACGTGTAAATGAGATCTTAGTCTGTTGGATTTTCCGTGCAACAACATGCCATATGACATTTTCCGATGTCCCACAATATTCAAAAAATATTTATAAAGGCTGTGTAGTATTCTGACTTCAGGATGTACCAGGACTCATCTGTCTCATTTTCTGTGGCTCAGTATTTCCCCCAATTTCTTTTTTTTTTTTTTTAGACAAAGTCTCACTCTTGTCCCCCCGGCTGGAGTGTGATGGCACTCTTGGCTCACTGCAACCTCTGCCTCCCAGGTTCAAGCGATTCTTCTGCCTCAGCCCTCTGAATAGCTGGGATTACAGGCACCTGCCACCATGCCCGGCTAATTTTTGTATTTTTAGTAGAGATGGGGTTTTACCACATTGGCCAGGCTGGTCTAGAACTCCTGACCTCAGGTGATCCACCCGCCTCGGCTTCCCAAAATGTTGGGATTACAGGCTTGAGCCACTGCGCCCAGCCAATTTCTTTTCTTTTTGTTTTGAGACAGCCCCTCGCTCTGCTGCTCATGCTGGAGTGCAATCTTGGCTCACTGCAACCTCAACTTCCCAGGCTTAAGTGATCCTCCCACCTCAGCCTCACTAGTCCACACCCAGCTAATTTTTTGATTTTTTTTTTTTTTTGTATAGATGGGATCTTCCTGTCTTGCCCAGGCTAGTCTTGAACTCTTGGGCTCAAGTGATCCTCCCACTTCTGCTTCCCAGAGTGCTGGGATTACAGCCACAAGCCACCACACCTGGCCCATTTCCCCCAACTTCTTTTCTTTTTTTTTCTTTTTGAGACAGAGTTTTTGCTCTTGTTGCCCAGGCTGGAGTGCAGTGGCACGATCTCGGCTCGCTGCAACCTCCACCTCCCAGGTTCAAGTGATTCTCCTGCCTCAGCCTCCTGAGTAGTTGGGATTACAGGCATGCACCACCACACCCAGCTAATTTTTGTATTTTTAGTAGAGATGGGGTTTCACCATGTTGGCCAGGCTGGTCTCAAACTCCTGACCTCAGGTGATCCACCAGCCTCGGCCTCCCAAAGTGCTGGGATTAAAGGAGTGAGCCACCACACCCAGCCCCCCAGTTTCTTACTGTTCTAAACAGGCAACCTTGATTACCCTCATCTGTTCATCTTTATACGCCTGTCTTAATTCCTCAGGATTTGTTCCTAGGGATCAAGTTCTGATTCAAAGGGTATATACCAACGCTGCCCAACACAAATAATAATGTGAGGTGTAATCATGGTAAATTTTCTAGTAGCTGTAATGTAATTACATTATGTAATATAATTCTAAATTTTCTCGTGGCCACATTAAGACAAGTAAAGAAATTAATGGTGAGATGAATTTTAATAGTGTATTTTATTTAGCCCATTATATTTAAAAATGATCATTTTTACCATATGATCAATATCAAAAGTTATTGCAGTTGTCTGTGTTCTTTTTTGTACTTAGTCTTGGCAGGCTGGTGTGTGGTTTCCACTTCAGCCCATCTCAGTCTGGGCTTACCACCTTCAAGGGCTTAGCAGCCACTTGGACAGGCCAGGTGTGTTCCTTCACGTTGAAGTTTATGATACAAAGTGACAGTTCACCTCCATCTCCAAAAGATTAGGCCAGTTAAACTCCCACCAGCCCCATGGACTGGTGTGCATTTCCCTCAGGTTGAAATCTAAAACCAGAAATAATGAGGTCCAGCTGCCAGGAACCAAAGCCCATTCTGCCCATCATCCGCATGGCAACTGTGACCTCAGGGCCCTGGAGAAGGGCTCAGAGGTGAGGAGCAAGGAAACTGGAAAAGCTACCAACCCAGGAGCCCTTGAGGAAAAGGCAGGTCCTTCCGTGGGCTTTGGGGCCCTGATGCAGGCAGACATGCATCAGGTGCTTATGCGAGGGGCCCTGTTGGGGGCCCAGGGTCAGCCCGGGTGTGGGGGCAGGGAAGGGGTTGGGGGGGCGCAGTTAGGAGGAAGCAGCTCACCAGACATGTTGGGTTAGACCAGCTCCACCTGCCAGGGCCTGGGGTGTTCTGAAAGTCAGTTCCTGAGGCTTCGGAAATCATCCTTTCTCTCAGTTACTGTGCCAGAGGAGTCTTCCCTGAGCTGTGAGCTGAGCCCTTGGCTCTAGGGATTTGGGTGTCAAAAAGAGGGCCCCAGAGGTGGGAGGTTGTCTTCCTAATCCTTTGCTTTCAATCAGGCAGGACAGAGGGAGTATGTGTATGTGAATTTGCACGTGTGTGCATGTTCTTTTTTTTTCCATCACCCAGGCTGGAGTGCAGTGGTGCGATCTGGGCTCACTGCAACCTCTGCCTCCCGGGTTCAAGTGATTCTCCTGCCTCAGCCTCCCAAGTAGCTGGGATTACAGGTGCGCCCCACCACGCCTGGCTGATTTTTGCATTTTTAGTAGAGATGGGGTTTCACCATGTTGGCCGGGCAGGTCTCGAACTCCTGGCCTCAAGTGATCCACCTACCTCAGCCTCCCGAAGTGCTGGATTACAGGTGTGAGCCACCGCACCCAGCCTTGCGTGCACTTTGGATACTGTTAACTGGAAACTCTTCATTAGATAACCTTGATCTAGGATGATTTATATACCTCTTCCTAGCTGTGGGACCTTGGGCACATCCCAGAGTTCTCATCTCTAGAATGGGCGTAGAATCATACCTACCTAACAGAACTAAGGAGAGGGTTGTACCAGCCCAGGCTTATCCAAGTAGTTGAACACAGAGGCCAGGAAACGGTAAATGCTCAGTTAATGTCTGCCCTTGTTGTTATGATTATGCATGTAATTTATTTTTTAAATAGCTTTATTGAGATATAATTCACACACCATGAGATTCACCCCCATTTAAATTGAACCCCATAGTTTTAGTATAATCACAGGGTTATGCAACCATCAAAACAATATAATTTTGGAACATTTTTATCTCTCTCTAAAAGAAACTCCAGTGCCCATTGACAGTGTCTCCCTGTTCTCCCTCTCCAGCCCCTCCCCTCCCTGGCCTCAGGCAGCCACTGGTGTACTTTCTGTTCCTAAGGATTTGTCCATCTGAGCATTTCATGCAAATGGAATCATCCAGTGTGTGTCCTCTCCAGTGGCCTCTTTCACACACCAGGATGCTTTCAAGGTAACGCTTTTTTTTTTTTTGAGATGGAGTCTCGCTTTGTCACCCAGTCTGGAGTGCAGTGGCACGATCTTGGCTCACTGCAACCTCCGCCTCCCGGGTTCAAGTGATTCTCCTGCCTCAGCCTCCCAAGTAGCTGGGATTACAGGTGCCTGCCACCACTCTCGGCTAGTTTTTTTATTTTTAGTAGAGATGGGGTTTTGGCATGTTGGCCAGGCTGGTTTCAAACTCCTGACCTCAAGTGATCCACCCGCCTCAGCCCCCCAAAGTGCTGGTATTACAGGCATGAGCCACCACGCCCAGCCATAACTCATCTTTAATAGTGGTTGTTTAGGTGCACCTGTTTAGCTGTAATTTCTAATCTTATTTATCTTCAGATCAGTGTGTTTTGGGGGTTAAGTGATCATACAAAAGGAGACAGACAAATAAAAAAAAGAAAACAAAACACAGAACTACATGTTTTCTGCCAGACAGACCAAGTTCAAATTGTGGGTCTGCCTCTATCAAGGTCAGTGACCTTGAGCAAGTTACATCCCTTCTGAGCCTCAGTTTATTCTTCTATAAAACGGGAATAGCATGTCCCTCATAGGGTCATGGAAGGAACTAAAGAAGATGATGTGTGCCTGGGACACAGTACTCAGCCAGTGAATGACTTATTAATAGCAGTATTTATGAGATCCCTCAGCCATCCAGATGGGATCATGTTGTAGGCTGAAAAACTTCATTACAAGACTAATACATATACATTGTACATTAGAGAAAAATGGGAAAATATAGATGAACCAAAAGCAAAACAGTCTTTAATCCAGGTATTGAGATGAGAAATAATTATTATTATTTTGGGGAAAATAACTCTAGGATTTTTAAATTACTTAAACACATTTGTATATTTTTATGTCTTTTCCACAACACAGAGTTGTGCTCTCTTGGTAGCAAGCTGTTTTTAGGCAGTATATGTGGAATGTATTTCTATGCAAATACACAACTGTCACTGTTAAAGGCAGTATACCTAAAAACAATTTTTTTTCCTCCATCTTGCACTCTAAAGGTATACTTTAAACAAAAATTGGCTAAACATACCAAAAAGTGTTTGACCAATCTGTTTTTTGCTTTTTTTTTGAGGCAGAGTCTCGTTCTCTTGCCAAGGCTGGAGTGCAGTGGTGCGATTTTGGCTCACTGCAACCTCCGCCTCCCGGGCTCAAGCGATTCTCCTGCTTCAGTCTCCCAAGTAGCTGGGATTACAGGTACCTACCACCATGCCTGGCTCATCTTTGTATTTTTAGTAGAGATGGGGTTTCGTCATGTTGGCCAGGTCTCAGACTCCTGACCTCAAGTGATCTCTGCCCACCTCAGCCTCCCAAAGTGCTGGGATTCCAGGCGTGAGCCACCGTGCCCGGCCCCAATCTGCTTTTGATGGTCACTTAGGGCAAGTCGAATTTTAAGCTATTTTAAATAATGCAAAGTTGAACACATTTATGTATTCATGTTTTTGTACGTGTTGCATCTATTATTTTTTAGGATACATTCCTGCCAAGTGGAATTACAATTTTAAAAAATTTTTATTCATTTTTCTTTTCTCTTCCCAGATCTCCTTTAGTCAGGGAGGAATAACACATTTTTTTTTTAGTAAATGTTTTGTCGTGATATAGTGCATATCCAGAACAGTGCATCACTCAAGCATACAGACAGCTCTTTGAGGTTTCCGAGAACACGACTATGTAAAGTGTACGGAGATCTAGAAATGGAACATTCCTAGTACCCAGAACTCCCCTTTGCACTCCATTCAAGTTACTCCTCCTCATCTCATCCTCCAAAAGTCAGTTACAATATTAGCGTCATCTATGATGCCTCCCTTAAGAGCAGCCACTATCTTGACCTCTAACATTGTAGTTGAGTTTTGCCTGTTTTTGAACTTTATGCAAATAGAATCATAAAGTATGTACACTTTCCTGTCTGGCTGCTTTTGTCTGTGATTATCTATATTGTTCATTTTCACTGCCATGTGCTATTCCATTGCTTGACTATATTACACATTAGCACTCTACTCTGCCATTGTTGGGCATGTGGGTAGTTTCCAGTTTAGGACGATTCCAATGGCACCGCCATGACATCTTTGTACGCATGCTTGGGTGAACAGAAGTATGCGTTATTTGTGTATATACCTAGGAGTGCAATTGCTAGGCCATGAAGTAGCCAGTGTCCTTGCTGACATACCTATGATCTAAATGGCCATATTTCCCTGCAGAAAGGTAGAAATTGCACTTTGATGATTCACCTAACCGTTCCAAGTGTCAGTGGCTACATCTGTAACAAGAGGATACAGCCCCCTCCTAGAGTGTTGAAAGGAAGAGATGAGCTGATCATTGGAGCCATGCCCACAGGAAGTAGAGAGCCCTCAGTCTGGGTTGACAGCCTTAACGAGCTGCTGGAGATGCTTGAGAATACTGAGCTGTTGATTCTTGAAGAGCCTGAGGCCAAAAAACAATGAGCAGGAAGTGAGGTGACCAGTTGGCCCCAGAAATTAGCTGCCTCTGTAACAGGAGCAAAACAGTGCTTAGGGGTAGGGAATGCTGGGAGGACTGAGGTGGGAGGTCACAGCTCCGCAGTCCAGCCCGTGTTTTGGAAAGGTTTGTGTGAACTGTATATAGTCCCCAGGAACCAGACCTAAAGTCCTTGAGTGCCAAAGTACTCTGGGCAGACAGGCGATATTACTTCTTGGTGAAGGCTGGCTTTGGGGTCAGTCGCACAGACTTGGAGTTCAGTCCCAGCTCTGCCTCTGTGTGTTGTGGGATCTTACGTGCTCTCTGAGCTGCAGTTTTCAAATTATAAAACTGAGATAACGGCCGGGCGTGATGGTTCACACCTGTAATCCCAGCACTTTGGGAGGCTGCGGTGGGCGGATCACTCAAGGTCAGGAGTTCAAGACCAGCCTGGCCAGCGTGGCGAAACCCCGTCTCTGCTAAACGTATAAAAATTAGCTGGGCGTGGTGGCGCGTGCCTGTAATCCCAGCTACTTGGGAGGCTGGGGCGCGAGAATCGCTGGAACACGGAGGCAGAGGTGGCAATGAGCTGAGATTGCACCACTGCATTCTAGCCTGGGCGACAGAGTGTGACTCTGTCTCAAAACAAACAAAATACCTGAGATAATATCCACTCACTTATTGAGTTGTTTTGATAATGAAGTGAGAAATGCAGATCATTGTTTAATATTGTGCATTTTTTAGAGACAGGGTCTTACCCCATCACCAGATTGGAGTCCTTCCATTTCTTTGCTCCACCAGATTCTCCATACATTTCTCAGTGTAGGTTTCCCAGATCATGTCCAACACCAGCCTGAACCCTTATTTCCTCTCGCTACTCATCTGACTCTGAGTCTGTGACTATAAAAAGCCCCTTTCTCGGCTAGGATAAAACTCATCTTCTGGAGTGGAAGAGGAAGAGTCAGACAACCAGATGCAGTTTTCTCTAGGCTGGGCGTGGTGGCTCATGCCTGCAGTCTCAGCACCTTGGGAGGCCGAGGCGGGCAGACTGCTTGAGTCCAGGAGTTTGAGACCAGCCTAGGCAACATGGTGAAACCCTGTATTTCTAAAAAAAAAAAATATATATATATATACATACATATATATATATATATGTATATATACATATATATATATATATACACACACACATATATATATATATATATATATATATATATATATATATACACACATATATATATATATATATATATACACACACACACGAAAATTAGCCGGGCATGGTGACACTTGCCTGTAGTTGCAGCTACCCAGGAGGCCAAGGTGGGAGGATCTCTGGAGCCCAGGAGGTGGAGGCTGCAGTGAGCTGAGATGCCGAGGTCGTGCCAGTGTACTCCAGCCTGAGTGATGGAAGTGAAACCCTGCCACAGAAAACAAAGTTTCTCTGTAGTGGGCTGGGTAAGGTCAGAGGCTGGGAGAATGGCCTGCTTCATGACTGCCCTGTCTCAGGAGCTATTAGTAATAGTTGTATTATTATTACTAAGGCAGTTGGAACTGATGACTGCAGAGCTGTTTCTGGGAAGAACGGGAAATCCTTTCTCTGCTGCTTCACCCGGCACTCGCTTTTGCCATGGTGGGAGATGCTTTGAGAAGGGGTGTGGCAGCCAGTGGGGATGGGGCAAAAGAATATCTGCAGCCTCCCTCTGACAGTCAGTGATTTTTTTTTCTGTCTTGTTTTTCTCTCTTTCCCCCACTTCTCAGTCTCATCGGATCAGATCGAGCAGCTCCATCGGAGATTTAAGCAGCTGAGTGGAGATCAGCCTACCATTCGGTAAGATTGGCAGCGGGTTTGGGTGCTGGGTGGGGCCATGCCCTTGCAAATTTCTTGTCCTGTTTCTTTTCTTGAGTGCTGAGTAGCGGGGGTAGTTGTTTTCTTTTTATTTTTTATTTATTTTGGAGATGGAGTCTCGCTCCGTCGCCCAGGCTGGAGTGCAGTGGTGCTGTCTCGGCTCACTGCAAGCTCTGCCTCCTGGGTTCACACCATTCTTCTGCCTCAGCCTCCCGAGTAGCTGGGACTACTGGTGCCCTCCACCATGCTCGGCTAATGTTTTGTATTTTTAGTAGAGACGGGGTTTCACCGTGTTAGCCAGGATGGTTTCGATCTCCTGACCTTGTGATCCACCCGTCTCAGCCTCCCAAAGTGCTGGGATTATAGGCGTGAGCCAACTGTAGTTGTTTTAATGCTTCTGGTCTCTTCTAAGACAAGATGTTCCCAAACAGTAAGAAAGAACCACTTCTGTTTCTATGAGGATCACACAATTATAAATTATAACTATCGTGGAAGCGAGGAAGGGCTCTTCAGCCACCCCATGCCTCACCCTGACTTCCTCGGATGGAATGTGCTTGGAATCTCAGACACATATGGAGGTCCTGTTAAATCCCAGGGTCCTTCCAACTGCCGGGCACACAAAGATGTATCAGTTGTGGTGCAGCCCGACTTAGGGGCTCAGGCTGCCATCAGGACCTCTGTCTTTTGACTCTCCTTCTTTAGGGTTAGTTCTGGCCTCAGGCAAGATGGGGGTGGCCGCCTCAAATTTCTGTTAAGGAAAATCAACCTTCTGCATTGTGTTTTGTTAATCTTTTAGATACCTTTAGGTTGCTTTTTAATGAAGAGGAATGCCTTAAACTGTATTCCGGTTGAATTATTTGTTATTTGGGTATTTTTAATTTTTTTGAGACACGGTCTCACTCCGTTGCCCAGGCTGGAGTGCAGTGTTGTGATCATAGCTCACTGCAGCCTCAACCTCTTGGGCCCAAGCGATCCTCCTGCCTCAGCCTCCCAAGCAGCTGGGACCACAGGCATGTGCCATCACACCCAGGTAATTTTTTATTTACTTTTATTTTCGTAGAAGCAGGGTCTTGCTATGTTGCTCGGGCTGGTCTTGAACTCCTGGGCTCAGGTGATCCTCCTGCCTTAGCTTCCCAAAGTGCTGGGACTACAGCCATGCACCACCACACCAGCTAATTTTTTAAAGTTTTTGTAGAGATGGGGGTCTCACTATGTTGCCCAGGCTGGTCTCAAACTCCTGGCCTCAAGCAGTCCCCTCATTTCTACCTCCCAAAGTGCTGGCACTACAGGTGTGTACCGCTGCACCAGACCTGTTAATTGTTTTGTATTTTTTTTTTTTGAGACGTGGTCTTGCTATGTTACCCAGGGTGATCTTGAACTCCTGAGCTCAAGCAGTCCCCCCGCCTCAGCCTCCTGAGTGGCTGGGATTACAAGCGAGTGCTGCTTGAGTTACTTACAGCTGGGTTAGTGAGAGGTCCTTGCCAGTGACTTGATCGTCACACAGAGTTCATGGGGAAGCTTCAAGTTGAACAAATTTCTACCATAAACTTCTAACAGATGTAGTTTCCTAAAATAAGCATTCAGAGTCTCAAGGTTACAGCTTGTTGGAACTTTGAAACAAACCTTCTAATACTCCAGGGAAACTTCCTTCTTGGTAAACAGACTTAAATTTCCCCTAGGTTTTATGGAAACTGACATATAAATGTCCACTTTCTCTTGTTTGTCTAAACACAGGCATATTGTTAATCCAGTATATTTCATTCTTAATTTCAAGAGCTCAGATTCTGACGGTCTCATGATTCTTGTGGCCTCTGGTCTCAGTTTGATTGCATCCAAGGCCGACTTAAAGACAATTAAGATTTATACCTTTAATTCTAGACATCTTGCCCACCAAGCCCAGTGGAGGAGAGAGAACCTGAGCCCAGCGGAAGAGTCACCTGGCTTCTCATTGGCTCTGATGGGGTCACGGGCCTGAGTCTGAGCCAATCGCCATGGCCAAAGACCAGACATGCAAATGTTTTCCCCTAGAGCTATAAGGGCATGGGGCCTGGGGTCAGTTTCCTCCAAGGACAGGGATGGAGGGCGGGTGGTTTCAACCAGGGCAAGGTGAAACCTCCTTGGTCCATAGGCTGAGGAGTGTGTAGCATGACACAAGTCAGCCAGGCACTGAGATCTAGCGGGGAGGTGGCATATATGGACACTGGATGCTGGAAAACAGTGTCAAGGGCGTGCTTTGCTTGTTCCTTCAGAAGTTAATGAGCAGCCTGGGCAACATAGCAAGACCCTTTCTCTACAAAATATTTAAAAATTAGCCAGGTCTGGTGATGCACACATGTAGCTCTGGCTACTTGGGAAGCTGAGGCAGGAGGATCACTTGAACCCAGGGGTTCAAGACTGCAGTGGGCTATGAGTGCACCACTGTACTCCAGGCTGGGCAACAGAGCAAGACCCTGTCTCTTAAAAAGTTCATGAGCATCTGCTCTGCGCCAGGTGCTTGGTACCTACGCTGGTAGCTGCAGCCGCTATGGAGCTCACAGTGGAGGATGTGGGAAGGCAGAGCCCCTTTGTCCTCAAGACAGTTTTCCAGCAAGTGGAGCCCCCAGCCCTGTAACAAACTGCCTTGGACTTATTGTTATGCATCTGATGTTAGATCCATCCAACTTTGGGTGGTGAACTTTAGGTTCATATTCTACATGCATAGAGATGCAGAGGCAAAAACCCAGGCTTCGGAGTCCAACTGTATTAGAATCCTTCATGCCATTGGCTTTGTGGCTTCGGGCTGGTTACTTCCTTTCTCTGAGCTGGTCTCCTCATCTGGAAAGTGAGCATGGTCACTTGGGATTTGATTTGAGCATTAAAAATGAGCAGTCGGCCGGGCACTGTGACTCACGACTATAATCTCAGCACTTTGGGAGGCCAAGGCTGGAGGATCGCTTGAGCCCAACCTGGGCAACACAGTGAGACCCCATCTCTAGGGGGAAAAAAAAGCAGGTGCAAGCAGGGCAGTTTAGCTCTAAGCTGGGTTCACAGGCATTTGGCAAATGGGGCTATTCTTCCACCCCATCCTGAGGGTCTAATCTGAGTGTGGTGGGGGCCCAGGTGCTGTGTGAGGAGGAGGATATGAGGCTGTTGGAGGCCCCTCCCACTTTTAGGTTCTAGGCGCTGAGCCCTGATGCATTGCCTAGCACCCCATCATAAGCTTACAATGGGACGTACTAAAATGGCATTCCCTACAACAGTTTTTTTCCAACTTGACTGTGCTCGAATCACCTGGGAATCTTGCTGCCATGCAGGTTTTGCTTCTGCAGTTCTAGGGTGGGGCCTGAGACTCTGCATTTCTAACAAGTGCCTCCGTTGCCCAGCACTGTGGACAGCACACAGTAGGTCCTCCATGGTTGAGTGGGTGGAGCGTCCTCCTCCTGCAGGAGCTGAGCTGGCGCGGCCTCTCTGTGCTGATGGCGCCGGACTCCTACCTCCCAGGCCTCACCTGCCCAGGCTCAGCTTAGAAATGTGAGCCGTTGGTCCTGCCCTGCCACCCCAAACCCTGTTTGCCCCTCTCCTGCACACCCATCCCCAGGACCTCATATGTAGCACCCTTGCACAAGCCCTCAGTGTGCCTGCCTGGCAGGGTCATTCAAAGGAGCTAGTGAGCAGCCTCTGCTCAACAGCCCTCTTGATGGCTACCCAGTGCCATCAACGTCATCTTTGTGTTCTTTATGTGGGACTCACACAGGTGTGTAGATGCTGGCTTCTGCTTTGCTGAGGCCTCAGTGTGGACCACATTTCCAAGACACGTCTCCTGCCCCGTGAAGGCCCACAGCCTCCTTCTGGGGGTGCCCCATCCCAACATTCACAGCACAGAATTATAACTGCCCCCACATCCCCTCACCCCAGCAGACTGTGGCTTCTTGGAGGGCAGGAACTGATTGCCTTTTTCCTTGGCCAAAGTGCTGAGTCCAGGGCCTGTAACACAGTAGGTGCTGTGAGAGTGCTCAAATGAACAAGTGAAGGGATGAGTGAATAAATGAATGAATGAAAGAACAAAGGAATGAGGAGTGAATGTAATGACTAGCAGAATTCTTTCCAGCGCAGGAAGCGTGGCCTACGTGAGGCCTGTTGTCCTTAATAGTACTTCCTTGTTAGGTTGATGTAATCCAGGTGAAAGAATTCAGCAGGGGTCTTGGCACGTAGAAACAGCTCACAAATGTAAGCTCTTATTATTTGAACGTGTTTTATGTGCTACACAGCAGGATTGTGTTACTTTAATCTTTTTTTTTATTTTTTGACAGAGTCTCGCTGTGTTGCTCAGGCTGATGTGCAGTGGTGCGATCTTGGCTCACTGCAGCCTTGACCTCCCAGGCTCAAGTGCTCCTCCTGCTTCAGCCTCCTGAGTAGCTGGGACTACAGGTGTGTGCCACCACACCTGGCTCATTTTTTGTATTTTTGTAGAGATGAGGTCTTACCATGTCGCCCAGGCTGACTTCAGTCCTACAGAACCCCATAGGAAGTAGAGGTAGGGACGCTCACTCTCCCCATTTTACAGATGGGAAAGTAAGGCTAGAGAGAGAGGCCATGTACCTGGCCCTGGGTCACACAGCTCATAAGTGGAGGAGCTGGGGTTTGAACCCAGCGCCAAGATCCTGCTGTAGGAAGCCAGGGGCATTGTCTTGATTTGCAAGTGATCTCTAAGGACCTCAGTCTTCCTGCCCTGCTACTGGGGGTGGGGGAGGTGCGTTTATAATTCCCGTCACCACTGCCTTGGTCTCAGAGCTTCAGAGTCGGCTTCGAGGTTCGTGTCAGCTGCACATAGTGACAGCCCCAGCCCAGCCTGCAGGAAGGAGGTGACTGACCACAGCTTCTTATGCAAACAGGCCTACAGGAAGGGCCTCCTTCCAGCCTCCCAGAACTGCTTTGCCTAATCCTAATCCACCCTCCAGGGCCTAGAGAAGGGAGAT
Organism: Homo sapiens; assembly: GCF_000001405.40. Lineage (NCBI taxonomy): Eukaryota > Metazoa > Chordata > Mammalia > Primates > Hominidae > Homo > Homo sapiens. The sequence goes on along the minus strand of NC_000012.12, from coordinate 117,070,297 downwards.
GAGGTAGCTTTTCAAGGTTCCCCTGGCCTTTTCCTGCCCATCTTCCCCTGAGCAGCCCTGGCTTGGGAACTGATCCCCAGTGCTGTCCCCTCTCTGCCAGGGGTTTTCTAAGTGACCCCAGGCCCGGTCTTCAACCTCTCAGATCCTGGCACATCTTGGAAGCTGTCCAACAGGCCCTGGGCTGTGCTGGGTTTTCAGAGCATGGACAAAATTCCTTTTCTTTCTGGGGACATTCCCCCACATGAAAATGGCGTTGATTGGGGTTCCCTAGTGAAGGCCCCTGGCACCCCACTACAATCTGCGATGGGGGAGAGGGTGCCACCTCCTTTGCCCCTTCCCGCTCAGACAGCGAAGGACCCACGTGCTTATGAGGATCCCACAGGAGGCTCGTGAAGACCTTGAATGCAAAAGTCCCCTTAAAAATGATCATTCAGAACCACAGGCTTTAGATACAGATGAATAAGATTTGTAAGTTGCACTTAGAAGTTTAAAGAAGAACTGGATTTCTAAATGTGCGGCTTGACAAATTGAATATAGCTTTACAAACTCTCATGAGGCAATTGATGGACCAAAATTGATTTTGTTTTTAAGCCACCGTTTCTTATCTGTGTTGGGCCTGGTCCCATCTCTTTCCAGAAGTCATCTGAGGACATCTAGGGGAGGGTTCGTCTTGCGGCATTGAAAGCCCCACTTCAAGGCCTTACTTTTGCGTGGGTTCTTTACACAGCCCGGTACCTGATTTTTAGACATTCATATTGTTGGCCGGGCGCAGTGGCTCACTCTGTAATCCCAGCACTTTGAGAGGCTGAGGCTGGCGGATCACTTGAGGTCAGGAGTTCCAGACCAGCCTGGCCAACATGGTGAAACCTCGTCTCTACTGAAAATACAAAAATCAGTTGGGCGTGGTGGTGTGTGCTTGTAATCCCAGCTACTCGGGAGGCTGAGCAGGAGAATCGCTTGAACATGGGAGGGAGAGGTCGCAATGAGCTGAGATCATGACACTGCACTGCAGCCTGGGTGACAGAGCGAGATTCTGTCTCAAAAAAAATTTCATTTTGTTATGTTCCCTTTTTAAAAGAGGGAACCCCCAAATCGTATATGCTTCAGGATCCTCAAGACCTGAATTCATCCAGACCACAAAGCACTGAATTTCTGTGGCCTCTCGGCAAAATGCCTGAATAGAAAAGAAAAAAAAAAAAGGAATTTCTATCTAATTCTAACACGTTCATTAGCCACCTACCATTCGGGGGGCTCTTCCCCTGTACACTCAGAAATTTTCCATCTAGCAGAGGCGACCTCCACAGGTAAACCTGTTAAAAGGTCAGAATTTTAAATAATGAAGAAAATACAGAAATAGCTTCTTGCACTTTTTCTTTCTCTTTTTGGGCCCCTTAACTGGTAAATGTTTTAAACAACAATTTTTAATTTCCTGATAGCACGCTGGCAGGCTTATAAATGCCAGAAATAGACGCTATGGAATACTTCAGATGTAGTGGTGCAGGCCATTAGGAGGCATGATTAGATAAAGCCACATTACAAAAAATATTTTTAGGTTCATCGAGCCATTGACTGTGGAGTAATTCCGGAGGTAAATGCAACCACAGACGTACACAGGGAAGAGAAAAAAAAGGGACTCCATGCTCCATGTCAAATGCCACCAACGTGCAGCCCCATGTTCTGATAGCCCAGACAGTGGGGCGTCAGCAAAATGTCCTAACTCCAGGTCCTGTTTTTCTTCCTTCAGCAGTGTTCCTTTTGTTTTTCTCTTTGAGACAGAGTCTCGCTCTGTCAGCCAGGCTGGAGTGCTGTGGCGCGATCTTGGCTCACTGCAACCTCCCCGTCCCAGGTTCAAGCAATTGTCCTTCCTCAGCCTCCCAGGTAGCTGGGATTATGGCACCCACCTCCACACCTGGCTAATTTTTGTATTTTTAGTAGAGGCAAGGTTTCACCATGTTGGCCAGGCTGGTCTTAAACTCCTGACCTCAGGTGATCCACCCGCCTCGGCCTCCCAAAGTGCTGGGATTACAGGTGTGAGCCACCACACCCAGGCCCTCAGCAGTGTTCTTACCACTGCTCTGTCATTTTTTGAAGTTACCACAAGATTGGCCCAGTGCAGTAGCTCACACGTGTAATCTGAGCACTTTGGGAGGCCGAGGTGGAAGGATTGCTTGAATCCAGGAGTTTGGGACGAGCCTGGGCAACACAGTGAGACTCTGTCTCTACAAAAAAAATTTAAAAATGAGCCGGGCATGGTGGCATGCACCTGTGGTCCTAGCTACTCAGGAGGCTGAGGTGGGAAGATTGTTTGAGCCTGGGAGGTTGAGGCTGCAGTAACTTGTCTTGCCACTGCACTCCAGCCTAGGTGATGAAGCAAGACTGTCTCAAAAAGAAAAAAAAGCACGGGGTTGTGAGCAGAAATGGGAGCCCAGCTGCCAGCAGCAGAGTGCTAACATGTGCCAGACGCTGGGCTCAACGCTCACATGGTCTCAGGAACCCTCTGAGGTTGACATTATTATCCCCATTTTACAGATTAAGCAACTGAGGCTGAAGAGGTTAAAATTACACAGTAGGTCCTCAGTTCAAAAGCAAAGCTGGCTAATGCAAGAGATGTAGCCTCAAACCACTGCAGTGATGTTGCTCTTCATCCAGAATTAAATCCCCTTTTAACCCAGTCACTTTGCTTTGTTTTTAACCTGTCTATGATATGACCACTTTTTGAGGGGATGGGAGCAAGATCTCGTTCTGTTGTCCAGACTGGGGTGCAGTGGTGCAGTCATGGTTTACTGCAGCCTCCGACTCCCGGGCTCAAGCGATCATCCTGCCTCAGCCTCCTGAGCTGTAGCTGGGGCCACAGATGTGTATCACCACATCCAGCTAATTAAAAAAAAATTTTTTTGTAGAGATGCGAGTCTTGCTAGGTTGCCCAGGCTGGTCTCGGACTCCTGGCTCAAGCAATACTCCTGCCTCAGTCTTCCAAAGTGCTAGGATTACAGGCATGAGACACCATGCCTGGCCTCGACAGCTTTTTTTAGAAATACTATACTCATAAGGAAGTTGCTGAGGCCCTACCTAGCTCAGCAGGCTGTTTCACCATCAGAATTTAATATATTCCAAGAGGCAGCGAGTCCTCCCTTTAAAAGCCTCAGCTAGGATGATGCACGTTCACTTAAAGAGGAAAACCTGCTACGGTAGCTGTAAAGATGCCCAGAAAAGACAGCGGGCGTGAGGCAGCTGGACTCGCACATCTGCTTAGGTGAGAGTGTTAAGGCAGACGTGAGGAGAGCCACCAAGGGGGTAGTTTGGTGTGAAAAGGTGCGGAGGCGTTCCCGAGGCAAAAAGCAGCTTTCTAAACAGTCTTAGTTTTATTAGCAGGTACTCGCATATAAAACTTTTATAGAGATTCTTTTCCCAGGATGGTTGATACTGACATGGTCCTTGCTTACAAGCCTGCAAATGTCCAGGGCCTTCCGTGATGGGTTTTAGAGCTGAGGATCCTACAGGGTTGAGAAGGGGAGGCTCCCCTTCCCCTGCTGGGGCACTTCTGTTCTGATGCTTATGTGTGTGAGGGGTAGTCAGAGAGAAAGCTAGCACATCAGCCAGTTCATGCTATAACATGAGCAATATACTAAGGTTGGCTGGGCATGGTGGCTCATGCCTGAAATCCCAGCACTTTGGGAGGCTGAGGCGGGCGGATCACGAGGTCAGGAGATCGAGACCATCCTGGCTAACACAGTGAATTTCTACTAAAAATACAAAAAACTAGCCAGGCGTGGTGGTGGGTGCCTGTGGTTCCAGTTACTCGGGAGGCTGAGGCAGGAGAATGGCGTGAACCCGGGAGGCGGAGCTTGCAGTGAGCCAAGATAGCGCCACTGCACTCCAGCCTGGGCAACACAGTGAGACTCCGTCTCAAAAAAAAAAAAAAAATTAGCCATTCATGGTGGCGGGTGCCTGTAGTCCCAGCTACTCAGAAGGCTGAGGCAAGAACATCTGTTGAACCCAGGAGGTGAAGGCTGCAGTGAGCCAAAATCGCACCACTGTACTCCAGCCTGGGCGATAGAGTGAAGCCCTGCCCCAAAAAAAAAAAAAAAAAAAAAAAAGCTAAAGGAAGGAAACAGGGCAGACAGCCATCCCCTGGAACCCTAGGGAGGAGAGGGTCCTTGGGGTAGGTGGTCATGGAAGGTGCCACTGAGGAGGCCACATCTGGGCTGAGACCAGGAGAGAAGGAGCCGGTGTGTGAAGAGAAGAGGGAGGGGAGCTCTAGGCAGAAGGCCCAGCACATGAGGAGAATTGGAGAGTTGGGTGCAGATCACAGAGGGTTTGCCTTTGCCCTAGTGATGACTTGGGTTTCCTTTTGTCCTTGAAATAAAATGCACAGATGTGGCCTGAAACACCAGCTGTATGTTAGCTCCTACTTTTTTGTTGTTGTTTTGCTCTGTTGCCCAAGCTGAAGTGTGGTGGTTCGATCTCAGCTCACTGCAGCCTCAACCACCCAGGCTCAAGCGATCCTCCTGCCTCAGCCTCCCAGAACTTACAGGCATGTACCACCATACCCGGCTAATTTTTGTATTTTTTGTAGAGATGGGGTCTTGCCATGTTGCCAAGGCTGGTCTTGAACTCCTGGGCTCAAGGAGTCCTCTCACCTCAGCCTCCCAAAGTGCTGAAATTATAGGTGTGAGCCACTGTGCCCGGCCAGCTCCTACATCTGTATGTCCTCCCAGGACCTCTCCCCTGAGCTCCTGACTCATGTAGCAACTGCCCATCCACTTAATATCCAATAAGACATGCCGCTTAACATGCCCCTTTCAAAGCAAGCACCTCCTCATCCCTCCCAGAGGTCCCCCGTTCCTCTGTGGTGAACGGCAGCCTCACAGTTCCCTGCAGTGGTCACCTTTGATTCCTCCCTTTGTCTCAGCCCTGCTTCCAGTTCATCAGCAAACACTGCCATTTCTACCTCCCAAGGAGCCCAGGATTTGCTACTTCTCTCCCCTTCTTCCTCTGCTCCCCCAGCCCCTGCCCTCATCCAGCTGCCATGGTCTCTGGCCTGGGCTACCCCAACAGCCTCCTCCCTGGTTCCCCTGTGTCTGTCTTCACTGTCCATCCACCATCCAGGCTCACGGTACCATGTGGGAGGGTCCTATGAGACTGTCTCTTCTCTGCTGAAGATGTTCTGTCTCACCCATTGGGAGTCAGAGCCTCCGCTGAGGCCTCTCAGTGTCCTTCTGGCCCCTGCACGGTTGGGCCCCTGCCACACCCATCTCCAATTATTTTTGCCCAAGTTACATGAACATTCTTTGTTCCCCACCCCAGGGCTCTAGCTCATGCTGTTCCTTCTTCTTAGAATGCTTTTCCCCTAGAGCAGGGTTTTTGAGCCTGGGCTCTGGGGCTGGATGATTCTTCACTGGGGGTTGTCCTGGGCACTGTGGGGTGCTGAGCAGCATCCCTGGCCTCCACCCACTAGATGCTGGTAGCACCCTCCCCACCAGCTGGACACATGGGAGTGGAGAACCTCCCCTCCTTCAGGTCTCTGCTCAAATGTCACTTTTTTCCCTGTGGCCTTTCTGTGGTCAACCTCATTTAAACTTGTACCGGTCTCCTGTGGTCCCCTCCCTTTCTCTGCTGAATTTCTCTGCAAAGTACTCATCACTCCCTGAGATACTCTATTTCCCATCTTTTTTGTGCTCTCCTAGATTCCCCGTAAGGGATCGTGTCTGTCTTTACCTCTGCAGCTGGCACCTAGAACAGTGCCTGGCTCCTTGAAGGGGCTCGAATGCTTGTCGCTGAGTTGCTTTCACTGTAAGAAGTCAATTCCAGGTGTTGGGGAAAGTGGGGGACTGACATGGGGCAGGGACAGGGATGAGAAGGTGTTTGCCTGGGGGAGTGGTCTTGGCGACGTTGTCCAGCTTTTCAAAGAGGCATTTGCCAGGAGCAAAAAGGACCAGGCCTTTCTTGCCAGAATCTTCTGTGCAAAAATGTGGATAGGAGAATTGCCTAGCACATTTGCACAATTCCAGGTGCTTTGAAACATTGAGAGATTAAGAGGCCAGCAGTTCTCACGCATTCATGTGTACGTGAATGCCCTGGGGACTGCGTTAAAATGCAGGTTCTGTAATGCCAGCACTTTGGGAGGCCAAGGCGGGAGGATCACTTGAGCCCAGGCGTTCAGGACTAGCTTGGGAAATATAGTGAGACCCTGTCTTTACCAAAAATAAATTGGGTGTGGTGGTACACACCTGTAGTCCCAGCTGCTCAGGAGGCTGAGGAGGGAGGATCACTTGAGCCCAGGAGTTCAAGGCTGCAGTGAGCCATGAATGCACTACTGTATTAATGCAGGTTTTGATTCAGTAGGTCTGGAGTAGGGAGAGATGGTGCATCTCTAATAAGCTCCAGGTGATGCAGATGCTGCTGGCCCAGAAACCACACTTTGAGTATCTTGGCTACTGGGAAGACATGTGCTGAGTGACATGCAGTCTCTGCCTTGAAGAGTCTCCATGGGGCCTCAGCTTCCCCACTGTGGGGGACACCACATGCTGAACAGTGAGTGCAGGAAGGGGAATCAGAGGGGCACTGGGCAGGCAGTGCAGGAAGGGGAACTCAGAGGGACATTGGGCAGGCAGCCCGGCAAAGTGGCCTCCCTCAGTGCAGGGAGCCCTGGAGCGGTGGAAGTTCCGGCCTGAGAATCTGGGGCCTGGCTGCACCCTCACCTTGGAGGTCGGTTAGCCTTGTGGTGGTTGGTGGGGGTTGGGGAGCTCCATGCTCAGTACCCCTAGAGAGAACTTTGCAACTGAGCTGGGCTCCGAAAGCCACCGGAAACCAACCCACACCACGAGGCTTGAGGAAGAGCCCAGCACAGTCCTCGGTGGTTTTTTGAGCCTGGTCCTTCCCTTCTTGTTGGCCTGACGCTTGTCCTGCCCTCTTCCTGGGTCCCAGATGGGGCCTCTTGGGCTGAGGGCTGGGGGCTGGGTGAGAGCAGATGCCTCGCTCTTTCTCTCTTTAACGTAAAAATGCGCAACTGGAAGGAAGGAAGTGGTGAGAGTGAGGAAGCGCAAGATGGTTCGAGCCAGCCTGGAGGCAGAGCTGGAGTCCCGCGCCAACTCTAGCTGTGTGACTGGGGCTTAGTCTCTTTGCCTCTCTGGGCCTTGTGTTCTGGTCTGTAAAATAGGATCATCATTGTTGCCACTCATGATTATGTGGGGGTGATTAAGTGTTGCAGTGCTTAGCACAGCTTGATGTCACGCGAGCCCTTCATGACTCCAGGGGGACATTCTGAAGCCCCGAGGGCTCAAGCTCTCCCGCAGGAGGCCTGGAAGGTGTGTGGCCCTGGAGCCCTCCTGGGCAATCCCCGCTACCCCTGATGGTCACTGGGGCAACACCACTGGCCATGAGAATCAGCTCTGGCTGAGGGCAGTGACCTGCCGTCAGCCCTGGGCTCTGAGGTGAGGCAGAGCCTGTTCCCATGGCTGCAGCCTGGGCTGCGACACCTTTAGAAAAGCCGGTTCATCCAGCCCGGCGGGGACCTAGGGAGGAAGGAAAACAAAACTGACACGAGTATTGATGGAGCATGAAACTGATGAAATGAAAAGGTTAGCCTGTCCTAAGCGCTGGACTCAAGGCCGGTGCTCTCCTTGTTGAAAAGGGACATTGGCAGGTTTTAGGGAAAGTCCCTGAAGGCCAGGCACCAACCACCATGCCACTGCCTGGGTCCGCCAGTATCATTCTTAACAATGAGAAGTGGCTTCATCTCTCTGCCTCAGTTTCCTCATCTTTAAAATGGGCACAGGCCGGGTGCAGTGGCTCACACCTGTAATCCCAGCACTTTGGGAGGCTGAGGAGGGCAGATCACCTGAGGTCACGAGTTCGAGACCAGCCTGGCCAACATGGTGAAACCCCATCTCTACTAAAAATACAAAAATTAGCTGGGCATGGTGGCAGGTACCTGTAATCCCAGCTACTCGGGTGGCTGAGGTACAAGAATCACTTGAACCCAGGAGGTGGAGGTTGCAGTGAGCAGAGATCACGCCACTGTGCTCCAGCCTGGGCGGCAGAGTGAGACTCCGTCTCAAAAAAAAAAAATTAAGAAAATAAAATGGGCATAAGTACCTACTTTATAGGGTTGTTGTGAACCCTATGTAATAATGTAAAGCTCTTAGAATAGTTCCTTCCATTTTGAGGGTACGTAGGTTAGCTGCTGTTACATTATTATTATTACTACTATTAATACTGCTGCAGCGATTACTGTTACTGCTGCTGCCGTTATTACTGTTATTATTTTAAAATTAAGAGCTCATCCTGTGTCAGGCAGCCTACTCAGCATCTTATGTGGATTTATCTCATTTGATCATCTCATTAGCCCCATCATGTTACCTGGATATTCCTATGATCCCCATTTTACATATGAGAAATCACGGCTTGAAGACATGCTGTGATTACTCAAGACCATGTGCCTGGTAAGGGGCAGAGCCTGGGCCAGCACCCCTCTCCCCACCTTGTGTTTGACCCTGAACCATCCCCTTTGATATGGGAAGGATTAGGTCTGCACCCATCTCACAGATGAGGAAACTGAGGCTCCAAGAGTCAGGCACCAGTGGTGAGGGGGAGGTGAGAGTCAGGTGTGGATGTAGCAGGTGCCTATGGAGAGAGAGAGAGAGAGCAGAGGCAGCGGGCTTCAGAGCCATTTACACACCCACTGGGGGTTGTGAAGCCAGCACCTGGGGACACTGTGTCCCCAGCTCAATTCCTAGCAGGTCAAGCATGTCTTGTTGCTGCTGGTTGGGGACAGGCCTCTTGTGTTGAGTTAATTTCTTCTCCAGGCACATGGGTCAGGCTCTTCTAGGTGGTTTCTCCCCCACCTCTCCTCCCTCTCTCCTGGGACATTGGGGTCTGCTCTCCTTCCAGGGTCTGGACACCTGGGCCCTGGGGAAGGCACCTGGGGAAGGGCAGTGCCTCAGGATGGGCCAGACAAAGAGGGAAGCCCTGCGTGCAGCCATCTTCATTATTCGCTTCATTATTCGCTCAGCAAACCATTTATTGACCACCTTGCCAAGCCCAGCAGTGCAAGGCACTGAGGACGGGGTGCTGTGGACATCACAGGGTCCCCATCCTGCAAGGTGCCATCTGTGGTGCACTCCCAGTTCACCAGACACCGTGCTGAGCATGTTGCAGACTTTATCTCCTCTAAACTGTACGGCAACCCTGTGAGGTTCCTGTTTGCAAAGGAGTAGACAGAGGCTGGGTGAGGCAACGCCGTTTGACCCAGGTAGCAGAGTAGGGTAGAGCCCAAGTGTGATTCCAGAGGCTGTGCCCTTCACCCTCTGTCAGTATCAGTGTGCCCTCCTCACAGACGAGAAAACAGACTCAGGAAGGATTAGCAACAGCCAGTGAAAGCCAGAGAGGGTTTGGCTAGCAGCATAGCAGCCAGCGGCTTCTCTGTTCTCCCAGATTCCCTCTGGAGCTCCACGTGGTCCCTTTCTCAGGGATCTGGGCCTTGGAAAATGGATTCTATTCGGATGGCCAGGGAGAGTCGGGCAGCAGGGTATCTGGTAAGAGCATGGCTGTACGCTACCTGGCTTCCAAGCTGACTCTTCCATGCCCCCACTGGGTGAGCTGGGGCAGGTTGCCGAACCTGTCTGTGCTGAGCCTGAAGCGTCGTGGATAATAGGAGCCCTTGTGGGGTCTCTGGGAAGCGAGGTGGCTCCGGCCAAGTTGCTTGCACGGTTGTGAGCTGTAGCTGTCATTGTCATCCGATCGTGATTTCGTAGATCATCTCCCTGGTAACCCTGACTCATTCAGGGCTCTGGTCTCTCTATTCTGTCCCCTCCTGTGGTCGCCTCCCACTAATGAGGAAAAAGGGCAAGGCATCGAGCTGTCTCCGAGCAGTGAGGGTGTGACCTGCATACAGAAAAGCATGTGTCACACACAGAGGGACTTTGACAGACGGAACATGCAACAGAATGTTCCCGGCTCCCAAAAGGCCCCCATATTCCCTCTCAATCACCCCCAACTCTGGGGCGGTTCACCACCCTGACTGCAGAGGTTCGTGTTGTCACTTTCTGTTCTTTACATAAATGGAGTCATAGTGCAGTAGCACAGCAGTTCTTTTTTGTTTTTTTAAAGACTTATTAGAAAATTTTAACAGCTTTATGGAGCTGTAATGCACATATTATAAAATTCGCCCATTGAAAATGTACAGTCCACTTTAGAGCACCTCAGAAAGAAGCTCTGCACCCGTTAGCCATCACCCCGTCCCCAGCCCCTGGAAACCACATCTCTCCACTTTGTCTCCCTGCATTTGTCTTTTCTGGATGTTTCCTATAAATGGCATCGTACACCATTTGTGTCTGGCTTCTTCCACTGAGCATCATGTCTTCCAGGTATATCCGTGCTGTGGCATGGATGAGAATCTCGTTCCTGGACAGGTGCAATGGCTCACACCTGTAATCCCAGCACTTTGGGAGGCTGAGGTGGGTGGATTACCTGAGGTCAGGAGTTTGAGACCAGCCTGGCCAACTGGTGAAACCGCACCTCTACTAAAAATACAGAAGTTAGCTGGGCGTGGTAGCACATGTCTGTAATCCCAGCTACTCGGGAGGCTGAGGCAGGAGAATCACTTGAACCCGGGAGGCGGAGATTGCAGCCGAGATCCACTATGGAGCAGGCCCATGGAGATTGAGCCGAGATTGTGCCACCGCGCTCCAGCCTGGGCAACAGAGTGAAACTCTGTCTCAAAAAAACAAAACAAAAAACCTTGTTCCTTTTTATGGCCAAAAAATAATCTTATTTTTTTTTCCATGGCCAAATAACATCCCATCTCTCTGGGCCAGCTGTCCCGAGTCTACCTCCTTCTTTTGAACTGGGTTTCTGGGAATCTAAAACATGAGTCTGCCCTGACACAGCTACTGAGTTTGGCCAGAGGCCATGAGTGAGCCCAGCTGAAAGGCCTGGGTGGGAGGGACAGGAGGCCATGCCGGGGACACAGAGGGACCCGGGAATCGGCCAGGTCCTGCTGTGCCTCTCCATGCCTCCATCCCCACCCCTCCAATGCGTAAGGCAGGGCAGCACAGGGGCCACAAGGCGTTCACAGAATCTTCCAACCCAAACGGCGTAGAGTCCCTTGCATCTGTTTTGCCTCCTCCTCTCCAGCATCTGTCTGTCCTAGTGTTGAATCCCACTCCCAATGACTGTCCCGTCATCACTTCCCACCCGGACGTCCTCATTTTCAGTGGGCTGATACCCTCTGCCTTCCCTACCTGGGCCTGACACCTTTTTCCCTAGGATCACCAGCCTGTGTGCTGGGTCCTTCCCAAGACACTGCCCGTGGAGGCCCATGGAGCAGAAGGAAAAGGTGAGCAGGAAGCAGATTGAGAGAACCCAGGATGGCCTTCTGTGAAAGGCAGGGGAGGAGGGCAGGCAGGTGAGGGAGTGGCTGACGCCCCTGCCTGCAAACCTGCAGCCTCTAGGACTCAGCATTACCTGTGCCAGCTACAGGGTGTCCTCCTGTGAAATTCACCCTCCCCTCTCCCCAGCCAAGCTTTTTTTGCCTTTTTTTTTTTTTTTTTAAGAGATTGGAGTCTCACTGTATCACCCAGGCTGCAGTGTAGTGGCACCATCATAGCTCACTGTAACCTTGAACTCCTGGGCTTAAACAATCCTCTTGCCTCAGCCTCCTGCATTGGTTGCTAGCTGGGACTACAGGCGCATGCCATCACACCTGGCTGGCTTTTTTTTTTTTTTTTTTTAACAGCTTTACTGAAATGTAATTTACATAATACAACTTAGCCATTAAAATGTGCAATTCAGTGACATTTGTTGTATGTACAGAGTTCTGCATCCAGCACTGCAGTCAATATTAGAACATATTCATCACTCCCAAAAGAAAGCTGTACCCTCAGCTGGCACACCACATTCCCCTCTCCCCAACCCCCTGACAACCACCAATCTGCTTTCTACCGCGGTGTATTTACCTATTCCAGATAATTCATGTAAATGGAATTATGTAATATGTGGTCATTTGTAATTGGCTTCTTTCACTTAGCATAATGGGTTTTTTTTGTTTGTATTTTGAGACGGAGTCTCAAAACTCAAAAGTTTTTTGAGACTACAGTCTACCAGGCTGTAGTGCAATGGTGAGATCTTGGCTCACTGCAACCTCCACCTCCCGGATTCAAGCAACTCTTGTGTCTGAGGTTCCCAAGTAGCTGGGATTACAGATGTGCGCCACCACACCCGGGTAATTTTTGTATTTTTAGTAGAGATGGGGTTTCACCATGTTGGCCAGGCTGGTCTTGAACTCCTGACCTCAAGTGATCCGCCTGCCTCGGCCTCCCACAGTGCTGGGATTACAGGTGTGAGCTACGGCGCCCGGGCTCACTTAGCATCATGTTTTTTAGATTCATTTGTGTTGTAGCATCTATCAGTACTTGGTTCCTTTTTATGGCTAAAAAATACTCCATTGTGGTTGCAGTGAGCCAGGATTGCACCACTGCACTCCAGCCTGGGCGGCAGAGCGAGACTCCATCTCAAAAAACAAACAAACAAAAAAACTCCATTGCATGGGCCACATTTTATTTCTCCAATTATGAGTTGACAGATGTTTGGGTTGTTTCTGCTTTACGGGTGAGCAATGCTGCTGTGAAATTCACACACAGGTTTTTATTTCTCTTGGGCATATCCCTAGGAGTGGAGTTGCTGGGTTGTCAATACTCCATGTTTAACCTTTGAGGACCTGCCAGACTGTTTTCCAGAGCTCCAAGCCAGCACCCCACTGCTCTAAATACTGACCTAGGGATTTGAGGATGGGCTTCAGGCAGTCTCTGAATCCCCAGAATGGACACAAATCCCACGTCTCTGCATTTGTTTGGGGATGAATGTACAGTCCACCTCTTTGATTCTCAAAAATATCTCAAGGCCGGGCCAGTGGCTCACACCTGTAACTCCAGCACTTTGGGAGGCTGAGGCAGGAGGATCACTTGAGCCCAGGAGTTCAAGACCAGCCAGGGCAACATGTCAACACCTTGTCTCTACAAAAAATTTAAAAAATTAGCTAAGCATGGCGGCGTGCATCTGTCATCCCAGCTACTTGGGAGGCTGAGGCAAGGCATTGCTTGAGCCCAGTAGGTCAAGGCTGCAGCGAGCTATGATCGCACCACTGCACTCCAGCCTGGGTGACAGTGAGACTCTATCTCAAAAAAGAAAAGTATCTTGAGCCTCCAAATCCTCCCTGCCCTTGCCCAGTCTAAAGGTTAGAGGAAGGGGCAGATAAGTGAAGCGTATTCCAGTTCTGTCTCCTAACTCTGAACTATTCTTGTGGGGGCCTGTTAGGGATCCAAAATACAGCTTGATACAGGATGAAAATGCCAGCTGACGTCTGCTATCTTTCCTTATTCTCTTCCCGGTATCTCTCCTTCTTGGAAACCAGCAAGGAGAACTTCAACAATGTCCCGGACCTGGAGCTCAACCCCATCCGATCCAAAATTGTTCGTGCCTTCTTCGACAACAGGTGGGCGTTTTCCCCTGAACCAGCCCAGTGGCAGGCACCCTTGTCTTGTGTAACATCTCGGGATACTTGTTTCCTAGAATGACCCTTTGAGCTGATGCCCAGAAGAGGGGGCCAAGCTGGGTAGGGGTTATGAGCATAGGTTTGGGGTTGGACCATTCTGGATTCATAGCTGGGCGACTGGGCTGCTCACTCAAGCTCTCTAGGCCTCTGTGTTCATTGTCTCTGGCTATGTAACAAATTACCCCAAAACTTAGTAGTTTAACACAATAGCCAAGCATGGTGGTGCACACCTATAGTCTCAGCTGCTGGGGAGGCTGCGGTGGGAGGATACTTGAGGCCAGAAGTTCGAGGCTGCAGTGAGCCATGATCACACCGCTTGCACTCCAGCCTGGGCAACAGAGTGAGACCCTGTTTCTAAAAAATAAGACTTTTTAAAAAAGAAAATTTAAGGCTGGGCACAGTGGCTCACGCCTGTAATCCCAGCACTTTGGGAGGCCAAGGTGGGTGGATCACCTGAGGTCAGGAGTTCAAGACCAGCCTGGCCAACATGGTGAAACCCTGTTTCTACTAAAAATAAAAGAATTAGCAGGGCACAGTGGGTCATACCTGTAATCCCAGCACTTTTGGGAGGCTGAAATGGGCAGATCACTTGAGGTCAGGAGTTCAAGACCAGCCTGGCCAACCTGGTGAAACCCTGTCTCTGCTAAAAATACAAAAATTAGCTGGGTGTGGTGGTACACATCTGTAATCCCAGCTACTCAGAAGGCTGAGGCAGGAGAATCTCTTGAACCCGGGAGGCGGACGTTGCAGTGAGCCGAGATTATGCCACCGCACTCCAGCCTGGGCGAGAGTCAGTAAGACTCCATCTCAGAAGAAAAAAAAAAAAAAAAAAAGGAAAAGGAAAACTAGAAAGCATTTATTATCTCACCATTTCTTTGGGTCAGGAAAGGAACCTGGGTGCAAATTAGCTGGGGGTCTCAAAGCCTCATGAGCTTCAGCCAAGGCATTAGCTGGGGCTGAGGTCTTGCCTCATGGCTCAACCAGGTAGGCTCTGTTTCCGGATTCAGCCTTGTGGCTGGTGGCATCTCCTGGGCCCCTCCAGAGAGCTGCCCACAGCATGGCGGCTTGCTTCCTCCAGAGGCAGCCCTGAATGAACCGATGGGACATATCCCACTATCTTTTTGTAACTGAATCTCGGAAGTGACACCCTATTCCTCCTGCTGTGTCTCTTCGTTAGAAGTGAGTCACTAGGTCACCCCCTTCTTGAGGGGACAGCACAGGGATGTGACTACCAGGAGGCAGGGATTTTGGGGGCCATCTGGGAGGATGCCTCAGTTTCACCATCTCTAAAATGGAGATAATCGGTCAGGTGCGGCGGCTCACAACTGTAATCCCAGCACTTTGGGAGGCCGAGGCCGGCAGATCACTTGAGGTCAGGAGCTTGAGACCAGCCAGGTCAACATGGTGAAACCCCCATCTCTACTAAAAATACAAAAGTTAGCCAGATGTGGTGGCGTACACCTGTAATCCCAACTACTCGGGAGGCTGAGGCAGGATAATCCCTTGAACTCGGGAGGTGGAGGTTGCAGTAAGTCGAGATTGCACCACTGTACTCCAGTCTGGGCAACGGAATGAGATTCTGTCTCAAAATAAAATAAAGTGGAGATAATCATAGCACTTGCCTAGCAGGGTTGCTGTGAGGGGCACTGAGGGGATGTGTGGTGAAGCTTACAAAGAGGTGTGCACTTTGGCCAGTGTCCCAGAGCTGAGGCACAGGCCAGAGCTCGAGCCTCAGTGTCCAGTATTGTTTAAGGTGAAAGACCTGGGTGACCGGGATGGAGCCTGGAGGTGTCTGGGACTCTAGGGGGGATGAAGGGGTGGGTATACCCTCCCCATGCTGCTGGGGCCTGTGGCAGACACAGTGAGGCCCGCCAGCCTGTTTGCCCCACGGTCCCCATGTCTGCAAAGATGGCTGGGAAACGGAGGATGGCCAGAAAGAGGAAGGATGGGAACAGGCGTGGTGTGGTGATGAGACCGTGGGGGCTTCCCTGATGGGTCTTGAGCTGTGCAGGGATGAACCACTCACCCTGGTTCTGCCAGGGATGTGGGACCCTGGACAAGGTGCTGAGCCTCCCAGGGTCCCACTGGAAACTGGGGTGCTGCTCACGGGGAGAGGGGTCCTTCAGCTGCCCCTGGAGTTGCAGGGGCCTTCCTCTGTGGCCCATGGGGCAAGGCCTGGCGAGAGAGTGACCAAGAGTTAAACCAGAAAAGCAGGGAGAGAAGGTTCCAGGCGATGGGAACTGTGTGTGCAAAGGCCCTGTGGCACAGGGAGCTTGGGGAGCTGAGAGGCAGACCCAGCTGGACCAGAGAGAGGCCAGTGTGGTGTGGGGAGGGCAGGCTGCATCGGACAGCATCTGTGGACCAGCAGCAGCAGGGGTCTTCAGGAGCCAAGATGGGGGACGCTGACGGACTTTAAGGTGAGGGTGTGAGGGGGTGGGTGAGCCAGGTTTGCACTTTGCAGAGGGTGCTGTGACTGCTGGTTGGTTGTAGGGGTGGGAATGGGAGGTGGAGGCCAGGGAGGAGTGAATCATGGTCCCGGGCTTGGGTCAGGGGTGCCCCGAGGATCTGGGGAGCAGGGGGCAGCTCTGAGCCACCTGGGAGGTTATAGATGAGGAAGGGTTGGATCCGGGAGTTGGGGTGAGAGACCTGGTACCGCAGGAATCTTCACAGCCAGTTGTCATGTGTGCCAAAGAGGAGGGGCCTGTGGAGCTTAAGTGACTGTGAAGTGTGTGAAGTTGCACAGTCAGTGGCAAAGACAGAGTGGAATCCGGTGCCCTCACCTCCTTTTAAATCCTGGTTCTCAGAGAAAGGACTCAGGTGGGCAGTGCGTCTTAGGCCAGTCCCCAGATGAGCCAGAGCAGGCATCAGGGTGGGAGGCGTGCGGCCCCTGACAGGGCACCTAGAGTTGGAGGCACTGACAGGAAGATGGTACAGGGGACCAGAGCCCAGGGGGTGCCTGTGGGTGCGTGCGTGTGTGTATGTGTATGTGTGTGTGCGCGTGCGCGCGCACGCGAGAGAGGGAGCATGTGTGCACGTTTAGGGGGTGTGTGTAGGCACGAGGCTTGTTTCCAGAAGGCTTGGGTGCAACTTTGGCCAGTTGTAAAGTTGGAAGAGGGAACTTCTAGGGTGGATGAGATGAGAGGTGGATTTCACAAGGGCATATGTTCGTCCAAACACAAGATCTGTGCATTTTAGTGTATGCTCTTATTCCTTAAAAAAAAACTTGACCCAAGGTCACTTGGCTGTCAGTTGTCACTTGTAGGAACTGGGATTCCAACTCGGGTCTGTCTGCCTCACGATCCTGGACAGACCCAGGAGTTGTGTTTTCGGCTCTTGGGGTGGAATGCACACACCTGCCAGGCTGTTTTCCATGAACAGCCGAGCTCCAGGAGACAGGGTGTGGGGAAAGGGCTGGGGCAGATGCCTCTCTGTTTTCAGAAGACAAGAGGGTGCACTGGGTATGCCGCTGCCAGACTTAGGGACAGGCAGACGGAGGCAGTAGCCTCCTCCTCCTTTGGAGGGTCTGATTTAGGCCAGAGCTGTGGGAGGACTGGCACAGGCGTGGTGCTCCCTGAAGGAGGGGGCAGGGACCTCAGTCATTGGGGAATGTCGGGTGTCCAGAAGTTGGACGTTGAAACAAGTGACCACATCTCAGGGGGACTCCAGGCGCGACGGGCCTGTGGGGACCCTGAGGAGGGAGCTAGGCAGGAAGGGGCGGTGAGGTCTGGGCTGGTGTGGGTGGCTGAGACCACCCTGCAGGCCTGGGAGACCAGGTGGGATTGGGGATTACCAGGAGAACTGGGGAGGCCCCAGGAGGGTGCTGAGCAGGGGAACAACAGGCTCTGATTTGCATTTTGCAAAGCTCATTCCGGCTGCACTTGGAGTGCGTGAGAAGGTGGGGGCTGGGCCAGGCAGCTGCAGAGGCCAGGAGAGAAAAGGAAGGTTCCCAGGGCACTGACTAGAGGTGTGAGCCTGGGGGTGGGTTGGGTGTGGGGGGGCATCCAGGAGACTCCGGGTCTGGAGCTGAGGGCAGCTGTCATTGTCCCTGCCTGACAGAGCTGTCGTTGAAAGATGGTCAGGGATCTCCTGGGCTGAGCTAGAAGTGGAGGGCGGTGGCCAGGTATGGGGTGGTGAGAGCCTCCCCTATAGGTCCCTGGACCTCGGCCTCTGGCTGCTTCTTAGAGAAACCTGGTGTGGAGAAAGGAAGGTGCCAGTGACTAAGGCTGGCCCAGAAGTCACTGAGGGAGGGGATGATTTTAAAAAGGGTTTCCTCTGGCCTGCACCCAGAACAACTTCGTGGGCTACAGCTGGGAGCCTGTAACTATTGGAAAAGGGCTTCACATCACATCCTGTAAATGCTGAGAAGAAGCTGGAGGAGGATTTCAGAGGAGATGCTGGAAACAGGATTTTCCTTTCAAGAAATACCAGCCTCAGCCTTTGTTCCTAAGACTCTTTGGGAACAGGTCTTGGGGAAGGGGTATTTTGAGCAGAGGCCATCCCCACCTCCAGGGCGCCCCATTCCTTACAGAAGAATTGGAAAGTTAAGGGGGCATCTTTGCAAAAAGAGTGAAAATGGCCTGCCCTCATGCTGGGTTGCAGATTTAGATGTAGCCCCTGTTTTCTGTCCACTGATCTTCATCCTGGTGCTCATTTTAGAAATGGGAGTTAGAGGGCTGGGTGTGGTGGCACGCACCTGTAATCCCAGCTACTCCAGGAGGCTAAGGCAGTAGGATTGCGTATGGCCAGGGTTCAAGACCAGTCTGGGCAATATAGCGAGATCTCATCTCTTAAAAAATAAATAAATAAATAAACTTTTATTTAAAAAATGGAGTGGAGAGCAAGTGGGGCTGGTTCCAGGTGCTCTGTCTGGGTTTCTTTGGCACTGGCTGTCATTGCCTTTGGAGACCAGAATGTTGGTCTCTTCAGACCTGCGGGAGCACTCGGAGGGGAAGGGACCCTCCTTCCTTGAGTTGGGTCCTGAGGCTGAAGCAGTGCCGGTCACAAGGTTCCCAGAGAAGGACACACACCTGCCTTCCCCAGGGGTCTATCACATTTTCACCCATGCTAATCTTAATCCCTCTTGCTGCAGCCTAAACCACTTGGGAAGGACGTGTGAGCCAGTCGCTGTGGGAAGGGCTTTCAGAGCAGCCCGATAAGTCCGGGGGCTATTTTTATGCTCTGTAAATTTGGTCTCTGCCGCCCACAGTGAGAACTTTGAGGTTATTAAAGCCTGTGGCAGGAGCGGTGGGGAGCTTCATACGATAAAAGAGAGAAGAGAGACCTGTGAAAACACATAAAGATGGGGCTTCCTGAGCCCAGGGAAGGACAGATCTCATCCCGCAGATGGGCAGTTTCTTGATCCGCCTTCCCTAATCCAGACTTGGGACCCCACCTCTCCCTGGAAAATCTCCTGGAAGAGAAAAATAAAAAAGTGGGAGTTCCCAGGACACTTAGAGGCTGTCGTATGGGTGTTAGTGTATTTGCTGGGTGCTGAAAAGGAGTAGTAGATGAACCTCTAAAGAGAGAATTGCAAACATATTCCTTTACATGGAGGTGCAGTCGTGCCCTGGGTGGGACCCAAGTAACATATCCAAGCACTAACCACTAACTGTTAGCCACCCCGGGCCAGCTAGGCACTGCCCCTTCCGAAGGGCCACAGTGAGAGGCTGTGGCAGAAACTTGAGCTTGCCAGCCATATGACAGCCTGCCCCAGCAGCCTCGGGCGCTCATGGTCACAGTCCAGTAGAGATAAGGGTTTGACGACAGTGGGTCAGGAGCTTGGGTTTGGAGTCATCTCCAGGCTGTTTTGTTTCTTTCGTTTGAGACAGGGTCTTACTTAGCCACCCAGGCTGGAGTGCAGTGGCGTGATCTTGGCTCACTGCAGCCTCGGCCTCCTGGGCTCAAGTGATCCTCCCACCTCAGCCCCCTAAGTAGCTGGGACTACAGGTGCACACCACCGCACCCATCTAATTTTTTGTAGAGACAGGGTTTCTCCCTGTTGCCCAGGGTGGTCTTGAACTCCAGAGCCCAAGCAATTGGCCTGCCTCAGTCTCCCAAAGTGCAGGGGTTACAGGCGTAAGCCATTGCGCCTGGCCTCCGAGCTATTAACAACTGCCAAGACCTGAGCTGGACCACACATTTCTGAGTCCCTCATCTGGGTGTCAGGCAGTGTGCCGGGCATGGGGCATGAACTCCCTGTGTCCCCATCCCCCAGAACACCAGCCCTTTCTTGCCTCCTCCAAAAAGCACATTTGTACGGCCAGTCTCAAACCTGCCCTAACTTACCACAAAACTTTCAATCCTTGGCAAACTTTGTATTTGGGTATAAACAGATTACTTAGAGATGCTTGCAGCCAATCACCATCCTAAAATTTTGAACTAGTGAGAGCGAGCAGAGGTTGGCAAACCTTTTCTGTAAAAAGACAAGGAGTAAATATTTTAGGCTTTGCGGGCCACGCAGTCTCTGTTGCAGCTACTCAGCTCTGCAGACAAGCATAAATGAATGGGCATGGCTGTGTGCCAATAAAATTTTATTTATGGACACTGACATTTGAATTTCATGTAATTTTCACTTGTCATGAAATACTATTCGACTTTTTTTTTTTTGGCAAGCATTTTTTCAACTATTTAAAAATGTGAAAACCGGCCAGGCACATGGCTGTCATATATAGTCCCAGCACTTTGGGAGACCAAGGCAGGAGGATGGCTTGAGCTCAGGAGTTTGAGGCTGCACCACTGAACTCCAGCCTGGGCAATGGAGTGAGACCCTGACTCTGACAAAATTAAGATAAAATTGTGAAAAGTCTTCTTCCTCTTCTTCCTTTTTTTTTTTTTTTTTTTTTCTTGAGACAGGGTCTCCCTCTGTCACCCAGGCTGGAGTGCAGTGGTGTGATCTCAGCTTACTGCAACCTCCACCTCCTGAGTTCAAGCGATTCTCTCGCCTCAGCCTCCCGAGTAGCTGGGACTACAGGTGCACACCACCATGCCCAGCTAATTTTTGCATTTTTATTAGAGGCGTGGTGTCATCATGTTGGCCAGGCTGGTCTCGAACTCCTGACCTCAGGTGATCTGCCCACCTCGGCCTCCCAGAGTGCTAGGATTAGAGGCATTAGCCACCGCACCCAGCCCGAAAAGTCTTCTTAGTTCAGGGGCTGTATGAAAATAGATGACAGGCCAAATTGGGCCTATGGGCTGTTTGCCAACCCCTGAGCTAAAGGAAAGGATCAGGAGATGTACTCAGTGAGTTACTGGATTGCTTGGTTTCTTCATAAGTGCTGGCCTGTGTGCACCATCACACACCCACGCATCCCTCTGTCACCGCCTGAATCAACGGTCACGCAGTTGTCTCTCTCTCTTCCACCTCCCTGATGATGAGCTCCGTGAGGGCAGGGCAAGGGCTGAGCTTTCAGCTTCCGGAGCCTGCAGCCCCGCCACGAAGCAGGTTCTTGGGGCACAGACGCAAGGCGAGAGCAGCCATCGTGGGTCCAGTGTGCACCCTGAGAGCGGAGTTCTCGGGAGCTAATGGTAGCAAGAGGACAAGATCCAGTTCTTCATTTATTTCCAACACCCTCCTTGTTGCTCCCGTAGGAACCTGCGCAAGGGACCCAGTGGCCTGGCTGATGAGATCAATTTCGAGGACTTCCTGACCATCATGTCCTACTTCCGGCCCATCGACACCACCATGGACGAGGAACAGGTGGAGCTGTCCCGGAAGGAGAAGCTGAGATGTGCGTGCCACTGAGTCCCCTTGCTCACACCTGGCCTGGGGTGCAGCCTCCCCTAAGACCTCAGAACGCAAGGCGCCTCTGCAGCAGGAGGCTGGGTGTGCATTGGCTTGGGGGCTTGGAGGGCTTGGGGCCACCAGCCCTCGTCCCTGTGAGGCTGGCATTGCTGTCTCCCGTTCCCGGCACCTTCATCCTAAACATTCCTCAGCAGCTTGTGGCTTCCTGGGACTAGAAGGGGGTTGTGCGGTGGATGTGAAACAAGGCCCTTGATGCAAAGACCTGGGTTCCAGTGTGGCCCGTCTCACCAGCCATGTGACCTTGAACCTTGACCCAGAACGTGGGTATGCCGATCATGCGTGGTTCTGAGGGCTGGGTAAGATCACACAGTCAGCCTTTGGCACACAGGAAGCGCTCCCTAAAGTCAGTTTCCTCCTCTCCCTCCTCCATGGGCTGTGCTATTGCTGGGTTCCTGAGACCAGCCCCACTATGTTCTGGCTCCCGAGTGGGTTCAGTTGTGGTCCCAGCTGGCCAGCCGCACAGGTCCCAGGCAGTGCCCCGAGTCACATCTCCTTTTCCTGTGGCCTTTCCCATGACTCCTGACATCCCTCTGTGTCCCGCCCCAGGTCAGCCTCCTCATCAAGAAAATGTAAACATGGGACTTCGCTATATTTAGCACTGGAATGTGTATGCGGGGCTGGTGGGAACAGCCCGGGTGGCGGGGGTGGATCCCTGGTGTGAGCCTGGCTTCCTGTCTGCTCCAAGGGGCGTGGAACAGGACGGACTCAGGTCCAAATCCCTGGTTTCCTGTCCCTTAGTGGTGTGGCCGTGGGCAAACGCCTTAACTTCCGTGAGCTTTGACAGTCTGTCTGGGAGGCAGGGCTCAGGCATCCCTGGCCTCTTGGGGTTGGGTGAGAGGGAGACAGAGGTTTGTGAAGCGCTTTGCACACCTGGGCATCTGGTCAGTGTTCAGTAAATGCCAGCTGGGCTCAGTGGTGCACTCCTGTAATCCCAGCACTTTAGGAGGCTGAGTGGGGAGGATAACTTGAAGCCACGAGTTCAGGGCTCAGCCTGGGCAGCAGAGAAAGACACTTGCCTCTACAAAATAAAAAAATGAGCACGGCATAGTGGTGCTGCGTGCCTGTGGTCCCTGGTACTCGGGAGACTGGGGTGGGAGGGTAGTTTGAGCCCAGGATATGGAGGCTGCAATGAGCTACAGTTGCACCACTACATTCAGCCTGTGCGACAGAGTGAGACCCCATCTCTGAAAAAAATAATAACAATAATAAAAAATAAATGCCGGCTGAGCACGGTGGCTCACACCTGTAATCCCAGCACTTTGGGAGGCTGAGGTGGGTGGATCATTTGAGGTTGGGAGTTTGAGACCAGCCTGGCCAACTGGTGAAACCCTGTCTCTACTAAAAACACAAAAATTACTTGGGCATGGCGGCGTGCACCTGTAATCCCAGCTACTCAGGAGGCTGAAGCAGGAGAATCTCTCGAACCCAGGAGGCAGAGGTTGCAGAGAGCCCAGATCGTGCCACTACACTACAGCCTGGGTGACAGAGCGAGACTAAATCTTGAAAAAATAAATACATTAAAAAAAAAAATGCCAACACAGAAGACTTGGGAGAGCTCCAGCTCCCAAGGCCGTGCTGGGAACAACATGGAGAGGCCCCCTCCCGGCCATCGCCTCCCTGATGCCAGGCCTGGGGCTGCCCATGTTAGATCAGTCGGGCCCAGATCAGAAGCACTGTGGACCGTGACCTGCTATGGGTGAGATGATGGTGCCCTCCAGGGCTGTGGGAACAATATTTTGAACTCGACACCGTTTGACTTGTGTTAACGGGTAACGCTTACTGTCGTGATATTCATGCTCACGGGGCAGTTGCCAGGCCCTAACGCCACAGCGCTAGCTCCCAGCCCTCCTAAGGCCACGAGGTAGACACTGTTGTTATTCCCATTTCACAGATGAGGAAACTGAGGCTCAGAGAAGTTAGGTCACGGGCCCAAGGTCACCCAGTAGGAAGTAGTCAGTCTGGTCCCACAGCTCATGCCCTGACCCCTCTGGCTTTGGCATTGAGGTTTGGTTATTGGTGTCTTTTGCTTAGTTTAGTGTACATTTCAGGGGGTGGCAGGGGCCAGGCCCCGCCTGACGGAGTCCCCTCTCTCCCCTGCCACCCTAGTTCTGTTCCACATGTACGACTCGGACAGCGACGGCCGCATCACTCTGGAAGAATATCGAAATGTAAAGTATGCTCCTCTGGCCCG
This sequence comes from Homo sapiens, assembly GCF_000001405.40. Taxonomy (NCBI): domain Eukaryota; kingdom Metazoa; phylum Chordata; class Mammalia; order Primates; family Hominidae; genus Homo; species Homo sapiens. Next base: position 117,046,753 of record NC_000012.12, on the reverse strand, counting down.
CCCGGGGCTCCTGGTGCCTTCCCCCTCTGCCCCCCACGACCCTGATGGAGGCCCAAGGTCACCGTTTGTTTCCGCCCCACCTGGCAGGTGGTCGAGGAGCTGCTGTCGGGAAACCCTCACATCGAGAAGGAGTCCGCTCGCTCCATCGCCGACGGGGCCATGATGGAGGCGGCCAGCGTGTGCATGGGGCAGATGGTGAGCGCCCCTGCAGCCCTCCCGAGACGCGCAGTGCCTTTCCCGCTTATGGTCTGCGTTTCTGGAAGGCCTCATGGGGCAGGGGCCAGGTGTATTCTGCCACCTGCTCTACCTGTGGCCTGTGGGGCTCAGGAACCTCTCCCAGCCCTTCCTGTCCCCCAGGAGACTGAAGGTCCAAGTCCCCAGAGAGCTGCATAAGGCAGGGAAGCAGAGTTCGAGATCTCAGGCTTTGGGGTCCAGGAGCCCCCACCTGCATAGCCCCCTGATCCCCCACCCCGGCCTCAGTCAGTGCTCACAGCAGCACTTGACCCTGGGGCCAGGCCTAGGTAGCACATGGCACAGGCTGGCCTTAATTGGTTTATTTCTTAACAAATGACTCAGAGGCAACTTCTGGCCTCGAAGGCAGGGGTCAGCAGGGAGCCCTATTGGGGGCTGACAAGAGCCGATGGCATGGAGTCCGGTGGAGGAGCCGAGGTGGGGGCTGGTGTGTAAATGACACAGAAGAGAGGGAAGTGGCCTTTCCATGTTCATCATTTATTACATCTTGCCTCATTTTGACTGGTGGGAAAACTGAGACTCAGAGAGCATAGAGAATCCTCTAGACCTTATGATCTTTCCTGTGCAGGGTGGATTTTCTCTTGTAAGGACAGGTGCAGCCCCACCAGCCCCCAGCCCTAAGGCTCTAAGCCTCTGGGGACCACTCAGGCAGGCAGGTGACCACCTGGGTGTCGTGTGTTCCCTGAGGGGTTTGGATGGCCCCACTGATGCAGTCAGCCCTTTGCCCCTGTGTGTCTAAAGTGGCTGCGTCTCTAGACACCCTGACGGCTTTGTGTTTGCCCAGCCTGGAGTGGAGGGGCGTTCATGCTGGATCCTGCTCTCTGTGCCCCAAGCCTGTCCTTGAGGGACATGAGGCCACCGGCCTGGGCCTGCCCCCAGGGGCAGGGGCTGTGGTCGGTTGGTTTCCTGACGTGTATTTTATCTGTTTGCCTCTGGAGCCCAGGGGGAAGCTTCTGGCTTGGGTGAAACCTCCGCACTCAGCAGACTAACCACCACGGGAGAGGGCTTGTGACCTCGGTGGGGAGAGCAGGGATCCCCCGCCGGGTTGTCGGGCCAAATTCCCATTTGATTTAATTACACTCTCCTTGTTCAAATTACTCCCTGTCCCACTCCAGTTTCAATTGGCGACAGTTTTCTTAATTTGCTGTAGTGAAATTGCTGGCAGCTGCCAGCTGCTGATCTGCATAAAACCCCCGCAGCCTGGGAAGCAGAGGCATCTCGGGGCGGAGGCCGGGCTCCGGGGCGTACCCGCTGCCTACGGGCCCCCATGAGGTGGGGGTAGCCCTGGAACCAGGAAGACGGCTGCAAGGCAGAGGGCTCATCTCCACCTCTTTCTTCACTCATGGGTCCTCCGGGTGCTCCTAAAATACCTTCTGGTGTAAACCTCGGCCAGATAAACCCAGACCGAGCTGTGCATGCGGCCTGAGCTGGGGGCAAGGGGCAGCTGCGTCGGTTCAATCCCTCCCAGCCTCTGAGGACACTTCCCGTTCTGACCGTGCCATCCGCCAAAGACAAACAATCCCTGGTCCCCACTTTAATGGACTTCCAAAGGCAGTTATTGACTGAGGCGGATCTGTCTCTCTCTCTTTTTTTTCTTTTTTTCCCGAGACCAAGTCTTACTCTGCCGCCCAGGCTGGAGTGCAGTAGCACCATCTCGGCTCACTGCAACCTCCACCTCCTGAGTTCAAGTGATTCTCCTGCCTCAGCCTCCCGAGTAGCTGGAATTACAGGCGTGTGCCACTACGCCCGGCTAATTTTTGTATTTTTAGCAGAGACGGGGTTTCACCATGCTGGCCAGCTGGTCTCGAACTCCTGACCTCAAGTGATCCACCCACCTTGGTCTCCCAAAGTGCTGGGATTCCAGGCATGAGCCGTCGCGCCGGCCTGTGGATCTTTTGAGAGTGCTTTCTCAGGAGGTCACACCCATGGATGCTTGATGGGGGGACTGCTTCACTGGGCATTCAGCCGGGGCTGCTTCCCCCAACTCCCCGCCCTCCTTCCTTGCACCGATCACCCCCTTTCCAGCCCCAGACTCTGGCCATGGGGGCCTTTTCTATAATTAGCTCCCCTTGGCCAGCCTGGGAACCTAGGGAGGCCCGGCAGGGAGGGCAGCCACTGTGCCCGTGAGTGGGAAGACAGGGAGGAAGGAGCCATTAGGGACAGGGCTGGCCCAGGCTAGCCGAGAACTGCTGGGTTTCATTTTTTTTTTAATTTATTATTTATTTTTTAAGAGACAGGGTCTCGTTCTGTCGCCCCAACTGGAGTGCAGTGGTACAGTGGTGTGATCATAGCTCACTACGGCTTCCATCTCCTGCGCTCAAGCCATCCTCCTACCTCAGCCTCTGGAGCAGCTGGGACTACAGGTGTACACCACCACACCCAGCTAATTTTTAAAAGTTTTTTAAAAAAGAGATGTTTTGCTAAAAAGAGATGTCATTATGTTGACCAGTCTGGTCTCGAACTCCTGGCCTCCAACAGTCCTCCTGCCTTGGCCTCCCAAAGTGCTGGGATGACAGATGTGAACCACTGTGCCTGGCCAAAATTTTTTTAAGTATAAAGAGGAAACTAAAGAGCCTGCAAAGTCCTGCCAGTAGAAACAGCCCTCAAGGACTTGGAGGCAGCTAGATGCTCCCAGCTGGACAGGCAGCTCCCTCTGTGTCCCTCATCTGTAATACAGGAGAGAGACTAGAACCCAACTCAGGGCCGGTTGTGAGATTGGCATCTATCATTAAATGCTAACAATAGCATTTGGTCACACCTGTAATCCCAGCACTTTGGGAGCCCCAGGCGGTTGGATTGCTTGAGGTCAGGAGTTCGAGACCAGCCTGGCTAACATGGTGAAACCCCTGTCTCTGCTAAAAAATTTAAAAAATTAGCCACGCATGGTGGTACATGCCTGTAATAATCCCAGCTACTTGGGAGTCTGAGGCAAGAGAATCACTTGAACCTGGGAGGCAGAGGTCACAGTGAGCCAAGATCGCGCCACTGCACTCCTCCAGCCTGGGCAACAGAGCGAGACTCTGTCTCAAAAACAAAACAAAACAAATGAAAACAAAACAATACCACTTGGAAGGCACTTGGGACATACATGCCTGGTGCATAACATGCTTAGAGTGTGCCTCCTGTGTTCTTAAACACACGTTGTACAGAATTTCAGACAGTCACAGAGAGAGCTTTGAGCCTCTCCTGCTCCCCCACCAGCCCAGGTCCTCTTCCCTAAAGGGACTCCCTCTCGGTGGTTTTTTTCCTACATATACCAATGTATACATGCATGTCTTTTATTTTTGATGTATGCAAAACATAATCGAACCGATGTGGCTTCCCATTTTCTCCGTATGACCCCACACACCCACAGGGCAGATGGTGGGGGTCTGGTTATCAGTCTGAGGAAAGGTTTGCGTGCACAGACCTGCAGACATCTTTCTGCTTGTTGGGTTTTGTTTTTTGTTCTTTATCTGCTGGGTACACATCTCAGAGCCTTTTCCAGAGTGAGACATACAGATCAACCCCTTCTTAACCCATTTTTGCCTGAGGTTGCAGCTTTTTCAATTTTTGCAATCAGACCTTGGCGATGACCTTGACCAGTAGGATATAAGTAACTCCCACAGCTTAGCGTTCCAGTAATGGAACACTAGGCATAAATGGTTAATGGTTGCGTGGGAATCAATAGCGTGGATGACCGAGATTTATGTCCCTCGCCTTCTATTGACGGGCACCTGGGATGTCAGCGGGTTTTCGCTGTCACAAAGCGAGCTGCAGGGTGAGGTTTTTGGAGGCTTGTCGGTGGGATCCTGGAGTATCGGTGAAAGGGGCAGGAGCACCTGGTGTCATCCCCAGAGCAGGGAGGACGCAGAGGCGATGGAGACTGGCATCGCCAAACCCACTCAGCAGGGAGAGGCTCCTTGTGGCCACCCTCTGGCCCTGCCCTCCCCAGTGGCCCTGAGTTATCACGGTGACTCACGAGGCATGAGGCGTGGGCCTCACAGGCTGGCCCTGTGTTTCCCTGACCTCTCCCCTGAGGTCTGTGAGCTTAGATTAGCCTGGAATCTTCTTATCAGCACAGCGCAGGCATGAGGAGGCCAGACCTAGGCGGGTACAGGAGGCATCTTGGTGGTCCAGCTGCTGGGGGGCTGGTGGTGAGGTGGGCTGAGTGGGGAAGGAGAGCCCCATGCCCTCATGTCACCCACACCTCGGATTCTCCCTGGGGGGCTGGGGGAGGGGAGGGAGGCTGCTCTGAGCCACACGTTGCCAGGGCCCTGGTGAGCGACGCTCGGCTCCCATCCCACCCTCAAGCCCATGAATGAGGATATTGGAGGTTCAGGGTGACCGGCTCCATGCTGGAGGCAGACGATCCAGAACGTTCTCCTCTTCTTGTGATTCCTCCCAAACAGCCTCAACAACTTACATTTGGGTATTGGTGGGGAGGGGAGGCCAGTGGACCGTCCCCCTGCGGAAGCTGTGTGGGGACCTGCGCCACTCACTGTCCACCCTGTGCTTCCGTCCCCAGGAGCCTGATCAGGTGTACGAGGGGATCACCTTCGAGGACTTCCTGAAGGTGGGTGGCCTGGGCGTGGGAGCCTCGGGGGACCCTTGAAGACCTCGTGTGGCCCACTGGTCAGGAGGGGACATGGCTCTTTACCTGCAGTAGCAAGGGACAGGCTTCCTGGGTGACCAACATCTCAGTAGGAAGGGGTCAACCTGGGCATGGCCTTTAAAGCAATTTAAACTGGTTTTTCTTATTTTTATGGAAAAGGTAATATTCACACGTAGTCAAAACAATGTAAGCAGTACAAAAGGGTATATAGTGTAAACCAAATTCTCTCCCACCTGCGGTCCCACTGCCGCTTCTCAGAAGTAACCCCCGTTGTAGGCTGGGCGCGGTGGCTCATGCCTGTAATCCCAGCACGTTGGGAGGCTGAGGCGGGCAGATCACCTGACGTCAGGAGTTCGAGACCAGCTTGACCAACATGGTGAAACCCCATCTCTACTAAAAATACAAAACTTAGCCAAGCGTGGTGGCAGGCGCCTGTAATCCCAGCTACTCGGGAGGCAGAGGCGGGAGGATCGCTTGAATCCAGGAGGTAGAGGTTGCAGTAAGCTGAGATTGCGCCACTGTACTCCATCCTGGGTGATAGAGTGAGACCCCATCTCAAAAAAAAAAAGGCCCTGTTGTAGTTGGAACAGGGATTCTGGGAACTTTCTGTGTCTTTAGAAATAGTGTTTCTCGGAAGCTCAGTTTGGAGCTGACTGCACACGTTGCGCCCGGGCCTTCCTCGCTGTGTCCTAAAATGACACTTTCGTAAAGCGGCCGCCCACTCTGCCCTCCTCCCTGATGGCTCCTCCAGCCTCTGCTAGTGGATGGTGGTTAGGCCAGTGCTGGCCTTGCAAATCAAGACCTGCTCCTGGCCGTTTTGATAATCAGATGCCCTGTGGCAGGGAGAGGACCCCTGTCCCCATCCCCCTCCCCCCATCCCCCTCCCCGCAGTTCGGCCCTGGGCATCACAACAGTGTTCCCAAGTGCTTTTGGGGTACTTGAGGAAGACAAGGAAGTCAGGGGAGCAAGAGACCAAGAGAGGAGAGAGGATTAGGGAAGGAAGGATCACGGCTTCTGGCCAAGGAGCCTAGAGCAGGACTGGGGGACTGGGCCCTCAGGGTCACAGCCCCATGGAGCCGAGGCCAAGCCTGGCAGCCAACGGTTAGAACCGGCAGGAGAGAGGAGAGGCAGGCAGCAGGGCCTGGCTGTGATGAAAGGCTGAAAGGAGACTGCGGAGGTCGGCAGGCCCCGTGGACTGCCGTGCAGATGGCCCACCCCGGGGCTGGCAGGGCGGGCAGACTGGGAAAAGGCAGAATTTGCACTTGTGCTTCAGACTCACTCTGGCCTATGCTGGGGACCCGGTCACCAGAGAAGGTGACGCCCGCCAGAGCAAGACAACAGAATGAAGAGCTAGAAGGTGGAGGAGGGAGGGAGGGTTGGGGAGGAAGTATCGCTGCTTCAGGCTGAGTAGAATGAATTTCTTTGCCTCCGAAACCAACTTCCTTCCCCTAAAGGCTGGCCTCTGCCAGGCCCCTAGTGCTCCCCAAGCCTGTCCCTGTACCCCTGAGGGATCTTTTGGGACCAGCTGGCCCTTCCCATTCCCTGATTCCTTCCAATGCCCTCAGCGACCATGTTGCCACCTGGCACTTAGCAGAAACCACCGTGAGTGTCCATGCGTGTTACCCTGGGAATGCCTCGTGCATCCAGCAAGGATGGGGCCGCTCGACTGGGACCAGAGCTGTCTTTGCACACCCCATGACACCCAGAACAGGCTCAGGAAAGCAGGAAGTACCTGGGGGCTGCGGCCGGAAATGTCCCAAGGCCTCCCTGTCGCCTGGGTGCCCACGGGGCTCTGACTTTCCCCCGTTACCAGCCTCGTGGCTGTCCCCGGAGATGCTGAGAGTGACAGCTTGAGAGTTTGATTCTTACATAAGCGGGAAGCAGTGAGAAGTCACCCGCCCACCACGTCCCTCCGTTCCTGTTGGCACCCCCCCATCCTACCATCTGTGGCCCCCGTGGGCCCTGACTTGCTAAGGCGCTGGCGGGCATAGCCTTGGGAGCACTGGGGTACATACATGGCCTTGTAGCACGAAGGCCCACTCCAAGGTTCTGGCCAGGCTGGACTGTAACAGCAGTACCAGCACCAGGAATGGGGCCACCATGTGATCTTTGGGTAGAAATGACCTTTTTGGGCTTGAGTTTGTCTTTCTAGAATGCACGTGATCCCTTATCCCAGGGAGGTTGTAAAGACCACACTGTGGAGATCCTTAAATTGATGACGATGGCCTAGCGAAGCCTTGTGACCGCACAGCCCCTAACAGTTTACAAAACGCGTCCATGATGAGGACGGGTCCATTAGAGCCCCCAACGTTCTGTGAAGTGGGCGGCACAGGTTGGGGAAGGGGACTTAATGGGGTTATGTAATTTGCATGAAAATCACAGAACCTGAAGTGGTGGGTGAGATTCAAATGCCTTGGAGCTAAGAGCTTGGATTCAGTACTTAATAATAACTTGCTGTGACAATCTCAGAAAGAATCCAAATGTCAGAGCCAAATTAACCAGCAAAAAAGACAGATGGAAGTTTTTCGTCCTCGCTTAGCTCATAGTCTTGAAACACAGCCCTCTGGTTTTCACCTGCCTGGAACATCACAGTTGGTGGCAGGAGACGGTAGGTGGGAAGGGCCGAGGACCGGGGGGCCTGGTCAGGTGTGAGGTGGCGGCGGGAACGTGCCCTTAACGCTGCTCCGTCCCTTCCAGATCTGGCAGGGGATCGACATTGAGACCAAGATGCACGTCCGCTTCCTTAACATGGAAACCATGGCCCTCTGCCACTGACCCACCGCCACCTCCGCGGAGAAACTGCACTTTGCAATGGGGCCGCCTCCCCGCGTAGCTGGAGCAGCCCAGGCCCGGCGGACAGCCTCTTCCTGCAGCGCCGGTACATAGCCAAGGCTCGTCTGCGCACCTTGTGTCTTGTAGGGTATGGTATGTGGGACTTCGCTGTTTTTATCTCCAATAAAAAAAAAAAAAAGGTTTGTTAATTAATGTGGCCTCTGTCAGTTCCTCACGTCCATTAAAGTGGCCTGGTCACTTGGCAGCATGAGACTGACTATGAGGAACAAGCAATGATGAAATTATTTTATTTTTATTTTGGAGACAGGGCCTCCCCCTGTCACCTAGGCTGGAGTGCAGGCGGGATCACGGCTCACTGAAGCTTTGACCTCCTGGGCTCAAGCAGTCTTCCTGCCTCAGGCTTCCAAGGAGCTGGGGCTACAGGCACACACCACCACACCCGGCTAGTTTTTACATTTTTTGTAATGACAGGGTCTTAATATGTTGCCCAGGCTGGTCTCTTACGACTGGGCTCAAGCGATCCTCCTGCCTCAGTCTCCCAAAGTGCTAGGATTACAGGAGTGAGCCACCACACCTAGCCTAAATAGTATTAAAAGGTTGGTTTGGCAGAAGAACTGTTCTTTCTTGTTTATTTTGGGTAAAGTATCTGCTGTTCTTCCTATGTAAATCCTGGGAACCCATCCGTGTTCTCCATCCTAGGGAGTAAAATAAGGAGAAGCAGCTCCTGCCCTGTGTGGGCTTCTGAGGTGGCCAGGACTCAGGCAGTGGGGCCTCCTCACTGTCACAGCCACATCTGTAGACTGATGGAGAAAACATCTGCAGCCCCGAGCCTGTGCCTGCTGCGGGGATGCACCCGAGCCTGTCCCTGCTGTGGGGACGCACCTGAACCCGCTCCGTTGGTCAGTGGGCGCGGGGAGTCAGGGCCTGGCTGGCTGACCCGGGACCCCCAGCTCCTCACGGTGATTGGGGGAGGGGCAGTGTGGTCTGCCAGCCATGGCTGTGCCCCTGGCTCTTTCTGGCAGTCCTGGGCCAGTTGCAGGGCCCAGGGCCCTACAGCCTTCCAGCAAGCAGCGGCAGTGGAAGCTGGGTAGGTAAGGATCCCTGACAACTTCAGTTATCACCTTTCAATTTGGGGACTGGCTAGAGCTGGGGGCAGGGAAACAAAGGTTGTTGGTCGTGGTGGCCTGGAGTCAGCAGAGGGCTGGCACCTGTGGGACTTGGAGAGCTGTGTCCTATGGGCGTTGCAACGGCCCGCTGAGTGCAACTTCCCTATCTCCCTGGGTGATGCGTTCCCATCGCTGTGCAAGGTGGGCTAGCATTTGCTTTCCAGGCCTCTTTCTGGTGCTGAAGTCCACGAAACGCCTAGTTCCTTTATTGACCCTCCCTGGGTGGCGTCGTTCTAGTATTCCAAGAGAGTTCTCTTGATAACTGGCAATAGGTATTATTTGCCTTCTTGGTGTTTTCATTCATAGTTTTAATTTGAAGCGTGCTTTACCTTTACTACAAGCCCACGCCTTGCAGTTCAGAATTTAAAAGCTTCGAAAAGGCAGGCCGTGGAATCTGCCCGCGACCCCCATCCCCCAGCCTCCCCCGTCTTCCCTTCTCAAAGGCAGATGTGTTAGCTCCTGCCTTAGGCATCCTTCCAGAGCCACTGCATGCACGTGGAAGCAGCTGTGTGCGGCAGGGTTCTTAGTTCACTCCACTTTTTGTAAATGGTGACGTTTATCAGGCTTCAGTGTCCACCACGTGAGGTTCCAGGTGGAAACTTGCAAACAGAAGAAGTAAGCTCAGGGCGCCTCTGCTTTTTTGCTCCCCACCCCCACCCCCCAGCATGCCCCTTCATTTATTTTATTTTATTTTATATTTTATTTATTATTTTTTGAGATAGGGTCTCACTCTGTCACCCAGGGTTGCAGTGGAGTGGTGCAATCTCAGCTCACTTCAACCTCCGCCTCCCAGGCTCAAGCAAACCTCCTACCTCAGCCTCCCGAGTAGCTGAGACTACAGGCACCCGCCACCATGCCTGGCTAATTTTTGTACTTTTTTAGTAGAGACAGGGTCTCCCCATGTTTCCCAGGCTAGTTTTGAACTCCTGAGCTCATGCAATCCACCCACCTCTGCCTCCCAAAGTGCTGGTAGCGCCTGGCCCTACCCCTTCTACATTAAAGGCTGGGGGAGTTCATTCGGTACAGCCCATCATAAGCACAGGCCCCGGACACTGTTCTAGGGGACCGTGACTTGTGCTTAAGGCTGCAAACGCACGGAGCCCAGATGGTGCTGAGATGCCCCATCTCCACTCTAGCGTTGAGCCTGGTGTGGTCCCAGCGGGAACCCTAGGCAGGGGAGTGGCTGCAGGGGGAGCCTCCTCTCTCAGCCTCAGACCAGGGACCCCTGGCCACGTGCTTGTGGACCGTTGTCACTTCTGAGGCAATGGTGGGCACGGCAGGCAGAAACACTATTGTTGGATGCGTTCCCACAGTGCTGAGCTGCGTCTAACCTGCTCCCCGAGGGCTCCCACACCCCTGCCCCCTGGAGAGGTGACTGAGGGTTCTGGGTGTTCCATGGATGAATATTGACTTCAACAGGTGTATTCCTGTTTTAATACATGTAAGAAAAAAAGTAACTTTACCCCACACCAGGGAGTCCATGGGATGCTGCTTAGGATGACTGAAAGTCAGGACTTGAATTTAAAAACACAGCCAAGCAGCACAGGGAGCTAAAGGGCCAGGTGACCCGCTACACAGGGAGCGGGCGAATGGCCCCGGGAAAGTGAGTGCGGCCTGGGGAGGCTCAGCTTTTGGTTAATGCGCACGACCTCCTGGGTAGGTGCCAAGCTGCGGCTGAGAGGCTCTTGACTCTGTGCTGTCATTGTCATTGTAAGCACCTGGCAGAGCCTAGTAGACACCAGACAGCAGCGTGTGCCACCCCAGGCTCTCCTGAGGCTTCTGCTCTCTGCAGGTAGGTGGCTGGAGGCAGGTTCAGTCTCTCCAGGGAGGTGAAATTGCATGGTCTGAAATCACCTCTGGAACTCTGCTTCTCAGTCTAGGAGTCCATTCAACACTCAAAGCTGCAGGGCAGGCCAGACACGGTGGGTGGCTCATGCCTGTGCCTTTGGGAGGCCGAGGCAGGCGACTCACTTGAGGTCAGGAGTTCGAGACCAGCCTGGCCAACATGGAGAAACCCTGTCTCTACTAAAAATACAAAAATTAGCTGGGCGTGGTGGTGGGCGTCTGTAGTCCCAGCTACTCAGGAGGCTGAGGCAGGAGAATCGCTTGAACCCGGGAGGTGGAGGCTGCCGTGAGCCAAGATCACACCACTACACTCCAGCCTGGGCGACGAAGCAAGACTGTCTCAAAAAAAAAAAAAAAAAAAAAAAAAAAGCTGCAGGGTAAAGACAGAGGTCTGTTTCCTGCCCTCAAGCGCTAACTACATAGTGGGAGAGACAAAGCCCCCGGGACTTCCAGGTGGATCCCAGGCAGTTTCCTCTGGAGGGAAGTGGGACGTGATCCCCCTCACCTGCTCTCCCTGCCTTCCCCTGCTGCTCGGGAGCTTCTTGGTCCCCTGGCTGCTGGCGGAAGGCACCTAGAAAGTCACTAGGACAGCCTGGTGGGGATCGGCCTTACTGCAAGAACCTCCCTCTTCCAGCCCCCATGCACCTTGCCCTGCCGTGCCCATGTGAGCAGGACGATCTGTGGTACCACTGAGCAGGAGGGCATACTGGCACTGCCACTGCAGGCCTCAGGTTTTCTGGGGCTGTCCCAGTTTGCTTTGATTTGGTTCATTTCAACAAAGGCAGTTCATTAACGTAAAGTGTTTTTATAAATAAATCATCTTCCGTCAGCCCCTGTGCCCCGAGTTTTAGTTTGGGAGATGTGGCCACGATGGGCACACATCAAATGTGCTCCCCTGTTTGGGCCACTGAGGCCTGCCTGATGTCTTTGAAGCTTTGGGCCACCGCTTATCTAAACAGCTAATTAAAATGAGGTTGAGTTACCGTGAGCCCAGTCCACACTGCTCAGAAGAAAGCTCATTTGTGCATAATCACTGAGGGTGTCCTCTAATTGGCAGGGTTAGGGCTCATTTCCGCCAGAGCGTGGATGCAGAAATCACCTGGCGCTCTCCTGCCCGGCTCCTGGCATTGTCTGTGGCATCCCGGGAACGATCAGGGTTGGCGATGAGTTGGTGCAAACCTGATCCCAGAAGGGGCAGGCTGATGCGTCTTGTGGGGCTGCTGGCCTTTGATCAACACAGACCGAGGGTTGCTGCCCCGGGCACGGATCTCAGTCAGCCCCACCATCTGGGCACTGCGGTCTGTGCCTCGGGCTGGAGGCAGGTGGTTCAGAAATGGCTCTTGTTATCTGCTGGCCGATGGGGCGTGCCCACGAGGGGATTTCTGGCCTCACAGACCCTGTCCCAAGTGCAGCAAGCCCCCTCTCATCCCTGGATGGGGACAGGAATGGAATGACTGGGGCACCTCAACTCTAGCAGCCTGAAGGAGGTGATGTGTTTGCCCTGAAACCTGGTCAGCAGGTGAGTGATAACCACGTACACGGGTTAACAGCCTTCCTTCCATCAGAAATGACACCAGTGACTAAAAGGAACTAGGCAGAAATCAACACTAAGTCAAATATTTGAAGGAAGCTGATAAGTTCGTCCTTTGAGGGCCACAGGCCGTGGGTGGAGAAGACTGAGCAGGGGCGGCATCCTCAGCCTGCTGGACGCCAGGGGAGGTCACCTCTGTCCATACTCTTCAGCCATCTGCCAGGAATAGAGTCGAAAGCGGGCTGAACTCCTAATATCGCCGTATTACCAAGGGGAAAGGTTGGCTTTTGGATGTTGAAAGAATATGGCAATTTGACACAAACACTCTAATTTGGTTGGTTTACAAAAGGGCCGTGTGATGGAAATGGAATATGAGGAGCTCAGGGGACACACTGCAGCCACGTTAAGCATGAATTATGGATAAGGGAACGGAGTAAGATGACAGCAGCTTCCAGCTCTGGCCAAATACCCGCATAGGGAACGAATTATTGCTAGACTTTAACAAAACAATGCTGTTGTTTTCTGAGCCAAGGGACTGGAAAGTTCTTTTTAAGCTTTGCTAATGGGAGACAGGTCATCTGTGGATCTGATCCTTGTCATGGAGCAGTTGAACCTGTCCCCACCTGCCTGCAGTTAACGAGGCTGCGGCTGAACTCTGCTGTGCTGGAAACGGCGCCGTGTGACTTAAGTAGGCTGATGGAGAGTTAAAAATACAAGTTGCCTTGGCAAGGCTTTTGCAAACACCTGCCTTGCAGGCTGTCCTCCCACACAGCGACCTTGGGAAAGCCAGGAAGAGCTGAGTAGGGGGAGCACCGCACTTCCCGGGGCACTGGCGGCGTCTCTGTCCTCTTGCAGAATTTGCACATGTGGCAATCAGCAGGGGCTTGGTGGTGGACCAGCCTGGTCCTAGGAGGACTCACGACTCTGAGGAGGACGTGGTGGCTGCTCAGCCCTCTAATCTGCTTGTTGACCAAGTCAGCAAGGGACTGGGTTCTAGTCTCCCAGAGGAAGGGCCGGTGCCCCAAGAGTGGCTCTGATGGGGTGGCAGTGGTCAAGGGGCCCGCTGAGGAGGTAGCTGCCACGTCTATCTTAGAGAAACGAAAAGGCAGCGTTTGTCCTAACATTGGGCGAGGGAAGAAAAGACACGGCTTGACAGCTCAGCCTGGGGGGGCTTCCCCTTCCCTTCCTAGGAAAAGACACGGCCCCCAGTGCAGAGCAGTCAAATGGCTGCTTCTGGAAGCCCACGCTGGGCATCAGAGGCCGAAAGTGGGCTGGGGACAACATGGCACCCGCCAGAGCCCAGCAAGAGGGAATCTGCCATCGCACATTAGAGGCAGCCCTTGTCCAAGTCGCCACAGGCCCCTGCAGCGGTAGCCAGGTAACCATCTGGCCCGGCTGCACGGGTGACGTGGGCCGGCCTGTGTGGCTCACAGCACCTCGGCCCGGCCGGCCAGCGCCGTGAGCTCACTGCTGCTGCAGCTGCTGCTCAGAGCGAAGGCTCCGTCAGGCAGTGGGAGACGGCCCTGTTGGAGCCCCTGTGGTGGCCCGCCTGGAATAGCCGCGGGACAGTTGTTACGAGAAGGCTGGACCCTCACCAGGGGAAGCCGTTTCTCAGCAACTGTAAACAAAGTGGGTTTGCGGCGGCCAGTGTCTGCCATCTAACACGTGTGGTGGGAAGCGCTAGCCCCTGAAACGTGGGGCCTCTAGCTCTCAAGAGGGGGTTGGGGGTGAAGGACTTCATCTTGGGGGTGTCAGCCTTTCCTTTCAGAAAGGACCAAGCCCTCTCTTGGGGAAATTCAGTTTCCCTCCGATCAGCTGAAACCCTAGCGTTCAGCCGGCGCAGGGAGTTGTGCTTGGTAGGAGAAGGTGATGCCGTCCCTGGAGTATCTCTGAAACATAAATTATTGCCTGGGCAACAGCAGCACCAGGGTGGCACATGGCTTGGGTTACAAAACACACTCTAGTGGCAGAGATGAAATTCTCAGGGGGGCTGTAGTCCCTTGGAGAATCTGATGCGAGGTAACCACGCTTTTTCCCAGAAAATGCCCTCATGCACCATTTCACACACAGTGGGTCCTTGAATAGCATCGTTTTATTCAATGTCATTTTGTTATAACATTGAGAAAAAAATTGATTCCCGGCTGGGGCCACTGTCTGTGCACCGTCTAGACGTCCTCCCGGTCGGAGAGCTTTCTGGGCACTCTGGTTTCCTCCCACGCCCCAAAGATGTGCAGGTGAGGTTTGTTGGTGTCTGGTCGCAGTCTGAGTGTGTGTGGGGGGTGAGTGTGCCCTGTGATGGGAGGGCATCCTGTCCAGGGTGGTCCCTGCCTTGCACACTGAGCTGTTGGGATAGGCTCTGGTCGCCCACCACCTTAAACTGGAATAACTGAGTTGGAAAATGAAAGAAGGAATGAATAAAAAATTATTGTAAAATAAAAATTGCCTCCCATAACCATACAAATGCACAATAGTAAATGACGCTGTACGGAAGTGCCCAGTGAGCCCGTTCATTCTGGTGTTTGACCTGCGTGGTGGAAGGAGGCGCTCCTGACAATTTTTGCTTTGCAAACATTTATTCTGTGATATAACTCACCATCGCTGCAACTGCCAGCACTCAGAGTCACCAAAAATTGGGTAATTATCTTGTTTTTAGTAATTTTTCTTAAATGTATGTATAACTAACTCATGTCTATTTAATGTTTAATATTAGAAGTGTTTGGTTTAAAGTTCTAAAGTTTGGTGAAGTTTTTATGGCCAGCAATATGCCGTGGGAACTTAACTCTTGTTTACATCCATTAGCCTATAGTAAAATTAGTTTCATTATATATCATTTTGCTTAAAGTTGCCATTTCTTTTTTTGAGACGAAGTCTCGCTCTGTCGCCCAGGCTGGAGTGCAGTGGTGCGATCTCAGCTCACTGCAACCTCTGCCTCTTGGCTGCAAGCGATTCTCCTGCCTCAGCCTCCCGAGTAGTTGTGATTACAGGCACACGCCACCAGGCCTGGCTAATTTTTGTATTTTTAGTAGAGATGGGGTTTTGCCATGTTGGCCAGGCTGGTCTTGAGCTCCTGACCTCAGGTGATACGCCTGCCTCGGTCTCCCAAAGTGCAGGGATTACAGGCCTGAGCCACCTTGCCCAGCCAAAATTAGTTTCATTATACCTCATTTTGCTTAAAGTTGTAGTTTCTAAGAAAACCTATTGATGACGGTTGGTGAAGAGTTACTGTACCATGTTGCGGGTCTCCTGGATCCTGGGCTGGGAGCGCCTGTAGGGGAGGTTCTGGGCAAATCCAATTGACTGTGGGTTTACAAAACCACCACGGTGGGAGGTAAGATTTCAAGGGGGTGGGAAGAGCTGGAATCGTGGCATGCCAGGGGATTATCACTGTATGCCTTGCCCAAGTTAAAATAACTTGACCAATAAAGAAATTCAAAGCATTTAATATTAGAACAACTACGGACATCATAAAGCAGAAAGCAAGTCCGACAGTGTTTTGAGAGGCGATATGAGATCTTCAGGTGTTTCACCATCCAGCTCCCCTGGCAGCATGCTCGAGTATCTTCTACCTTTAGGGGAGCCGGGGATGGAGGCGTCCCTGAGAGGGACTAAAGAAGGAAAGTAGAGGATCAATTGGCTAAAAACTCAGAACTTGTTTGTGAAAGGGTCTGGATAAAGGTAAGGGGGCTTAATTTGGATACATGTTGGCTTATAAAGGAGCATTTATCCTTTCCCTGTCAGTGTGATTGATTCCAGGATGTGGAGGTTTGCAGTAGAAAACACTGCCTGAAGTTGGCGTGCTTGAAGATGACAGCTTGAGTCCAAAAAATTCTCCTTTACAAAACCCAGGCGACTTCCACGAATGGCAGGTACGTTAGAAACAGGCTCTGCGGTGGGAGGGGCTACACTTGGGACATTTTTACACTGGGCCAGCTGCTGGCTGCTCTAATTCTGGGTCTAATGACTTTACACTCCGTTATCTTTAATTGCTGCAAACTAGGAAGGGCGAATGCGCCTGCAAAATGAACTGGGAACGCAGACTGAAGGGGCTGCTTTTTGAAAAGAAAAATATTTTCCCCAGTGGTCCAGACGCATTAAGACTATGAGAGAGAAAGGGCGGGGCTTGATGAAAACCTTCTAAAGCGAGGCCACCAGCGAGCAGTCTGACCACCACATGACATGATGAAAGTAAACAAAATCCTGCATTTGCTACCTACAGGCCATCTCCACTTAGGAAGTTATCTGGTTGAAAGGAAGCAGAAAACCCTCCGGTCCATCTGCCTGCAGGTAGGCAGGGTCTGAAAGAAAGCGCTCTGGACGGGAAGGTGACGCTTCCCAGTCGCAGCTCTATCTGCTCCGTTCCCCTGTGTAGTTGGAGATGAATATGGAATGGCTGCGTATCTTAAGCAATCTGAAAAACCTTCCAGAACCTTCATGACGTGAAGGTTCTAGGCTTTGGAGTAATGGCAAGCACTTCCCACTGATACGTACACGTGTGCAACTGAGAGGACTCGGTTTTCTCTGGAATGAGTGTGGACAAACGGTTCCCATGTGGTAGGTACTTCTGCATCCTCAGGTACCTTTTCTCTTCCTCATAGACCACTGTACCTTTATGTTTTATCAAGAGTTGTATATTTTGTCTTTTTTTTTTTTAAACTGCTTTTGGGCTGGGTACAGTGACTTACACCTGTAATCCCAGCACTTTGGGAGGCTGAGGCAGGCAATCATTTGAGGTCAGAAGTTTGAGACCAGCCTGGCCAACATAGCAATATCCCCCGTCTCTACTAAAAATGTAAAAATTAGCCAGTTGTGGTAGCGGACGCCTGTAATCCCAGCTACTCAGGAGGCTGAGGCAGGAGAATTGCTTGAACTCGGGAGGCAGAGGTTGCAGTGAGCCGAGATCAGGCCATTGCACTCCAGTCTAGTCTAGGTGACAGAGCGAGACCCCACCTGAAAAAAAACAAAACCTTCTGGCTTTATATTAACTAACTATTGGTTTTCGATTCCACTGATGTCTGTTTTTATCCTGATTTAACCCCTGCCTTCTGCTGCTTTGGGATTGCTGCTACCTTTTCTGAGCTGAGGTGCCAGCCCCTCACAGCCCCTCCCAGCCCCATCCCCTGGGTTTTGTATTCTGTGCTTTTACTGTCAGCCCAGTCTAGAGAGTTTATAGTTTGTTTTTATTAACCTCTTTAAATCCAAGTAAATTCAGGAGTGTCTGGAATTGTCTTATTTTGCTTTTTGTTGATTTCTCACTATTCTGCATTGGAGTCAATTCCTAGAAAAGCAGGGCCCTGCCTGAGGGTATAGCCCATAGGGTGCAGTGTCTTGGGGTTGGGGGATTCTATAATTTGGCCTGTATGGTGTGAATCTTTGTGCATCTGAGCTGTTCTTTGTGGCCTTCGTACAGGGTGGTTTTTTGTGCATCGTCTATGTGTATTTGAAATTCCATACGCATCTACTGGATCCAGCTTGTTAGCGATACTAAGTAAATCCTCCAGATCTTTACATTTTTCTCACTGATTTGCCTGCCGTGAGAATGGATTTTATTTCTCTTTGTAGTTCTATCAGTTTTCGCTTTGATATTCTGAAGGTATATTAGGTGGATGCTGTTGCTGTTTAGAACTGTTGAAAATCAAGAGTAAGGCAATGGCTTGCTTCCAGAATACTTTGGAAATGGCAGCTCTGTATCACACTGAACAGTTCTCTCCTGTCCTGTTTCATCTTGATGGCTGTTTAGTCAATGAATATTTAGAAAATATTTGCTTTGTATCACATATCATAGACACAATAGTAAGCAAAATAGTCATTGATGACTAAACTGTATAAGTATATAATTATAAACCATGGTAAAAGCTGTGAAGAAAAAGTACAGCTCTACCAGCTTGCTACTGGAAGGTGGTGGTGGCAAGTGTCACAGAAGAGCACCCCAAGTAAATACAGGGAAAAGGACATGGAGGTTATTGCCTTGGAGGCCAGGAACAAGCACATCCAAAGGCCCTCGGAGGAAAAGAGGTAAGGGGCTGGAGACGGAAAAGACGGCCTGCAGGGCTGGAGCTGGGAGGGCGGACACACAGAAGCTGGCTAAGCAGGGACCGTATAGGACCGCGCAGCGAGATCCCTGAGGCGTCCTGAGGGAGCTGAGGCCAGGGTGGCCAGCTGGGTGGGGAAGGAGGCTATGTTTGAGTTGGCAGCACGTGGGACTCGAGCCCTGGCACACGCCAGCTTGCCCCAGGCGCTGGGGGAAGTGCAGGGGTCAGGGAGATGCGTGCTGTCAGGCATGGCACCCTGGGCTGCTTTCTTCCCCTAAATGTTTACCACCTGTGAAGAGGTGCCTGGCGTTTTAAGATGGATAAAACTGGTTCTTCCCATTTTTCTCCTTGCTCCCAACTGAGGCACATCCCTAAACATGGTTATAGGGAAAGGCCAGTGCGAGGTCGTAGTAGTGAGTGGCCATGGCGTCACAGGATGAACGGCAGACAGGGAGAGGGCTCTGGAAGGCCAGCTGGTCCACCGCAAACTCATAGGCGCGGATCAGCCCCCGGTGTCTAGAAAGAGCACAAAGATGGTGACAGGTCAGGGCTGCCTCGCTGGCCCTCACCCCAGCCGCTTCTGTCTGTGCAGGAGGCGTTCGCCTGAGACCAGATAGAGGTTCAGCTTCACAAACGCGTTCTCTGGGCACACAGCGTCAGATACTCACAGTCCCCGGCTTAGCGGTCAACGTGGGGGTGCACAAGTCCGATGGGCGCAGTGAGTGTCACAGGGCAAGGACTCAAGAGGGCGGGCCTTGCCCCTGACAGGATTCTAACCACAGCAGGCCCCTCAGCATACGGCTTGCCCTCCCTCTCTGTACAGCCGACAGCGTGGACTCGCCCCACGGGGCTGTCCTGCATCAGATGCTGGGTGCTCAGTACAGGTCAGCATCCACGTTTATGTTTCCAATTCGCAGAAAGGCAGGGCCCTGCCTGAGGGTATAGCCCATAGGGTGCAATGTGTCACGGCGGGGGGGGTGGGGTTCTATACATCAGTCAAACTAAGATGGTCTCTTACTCGCCCGGCCCCACCACTAACCTCCTGTGAGTAGTGAAGCTGTCCAGGTCGGCGTTTCGCATTACCGTCTGGTAAGGCACGTTGGCCGTGATGAGGCTGTGGCTGCTGAATGAGATGTGCTGCACCGGGTGCCTGGAAGGCAGTGGGAGAGAGCTCGTAAGGGGGCGTCCACTGGGCCTGCACTTGCTGCCGCAGGCCTGGGAGTTCAGAGCTGCAGGGGATTCTAGAACCCATAAAGCTAAGCTTCTCTTTCACAGAGGGAACAGGGCCCCCATGGAAGCAGTGTCTCACCTCAGTTCCCGAAGCTCAGGTGAGCAGGCCACGCTTTGGGCATGACTTTGTAAACAGGTCTGCATGCCCCGTACGCATGCTGGCATCTGCCCCCACAACCTGGTACATTCCAGACATAAAGGGCACACCCTACTGCAGACGAATCAGCCACATGCAACAGAGACTGGCCCATCGCTGCCTCCCTGGGCAAGTCCCTTGAGCTTTCCCAGCCAGGCTCTCCATCATCTATGGAGCACTGGGGGCACGTTCACTGTTGATCCATGAAGGTGCCCCCCACATCCTGCTCATAGGGCTGCAATGACACACGTACCCTGGGTGGTGAAAGCACGTTCGGAAAATCTTGGAACAAAATGGTTCCAAGTCTCTTGAACAGAGGTTTGCGTTCATTCTGAAACTTTCATGCAGTACCGGCTGTGGTCACGGCACTGAGCTAGGAGACACTGGATTAAAAAGATGTCTCATCCAGGTGGATGCCTGGCCCAGGGAGAGCCCTAGCTAGTGAAGAAGGTAAGATGCAGTCCCAGAAAACATGACCATTGTTTCTGTAGCACGAGCGATGTTACAAGCTACAAAGAATGTGTGACCCAGAGTTAAGTGCTGGGAGGAGCAGGAGGTGCTGTGGGCTGGGAGGGGTGCACAGGAGGGGACGAGGCCTGTGTGGGCTGGGCCAGGGCTGCTCTCCTTGACTAAAGCAAAGGATTCTTGGAAGTGAGGGAAGCTGGGAAGCAGTCCCTGCCTCCCTGGGGTTGGGACACCCACAGAAGGAAAGTGTTGGTGGACCTGGCATGGGACCTGGAGGATGAGAAAGACCCGGGAAGGGAGGGCAGGCTTGGTGGAGGCCTGCAGCCTGGAGGACTGAAGGAAAGTGTTGGTGGACCTGGCATGGGACCTGGAGGATGAGAAAGACCCGGGGAGGGAGGGCAGGCTTGGTGGAGGCCTGCAGCCTGGAGGACTGAAGGAAAGTGTTGGTGGACCTGGCATGGGACCTGGAGGATGAGAAAGACCCGGGGAGGGAGGGCAGGCTTGGTGGAGGCCTGCAGCCTGGAGGACTGACGGCACCCTGTCAGGCAGGCGAGGACCTGGGCTGAAGAGACTGAAGCGGACAGCGGGAGGTACATGACAGTGACCAAACAACAGCCAGACTGGGGCCTGGCAGCAGGCACTGCAGGTGAGGCCTTGAGCAAGTCAGTGAGTTCTGGGCAGGAGACCATGTGTCTGTCAGCCTTGTGCTGGTGAAAACAGTGACCACGTGGGGGACAAGCCTGGACCGCACAGGGACAGAGGCAGTGCTGGGACAGGGCCACACCTCTGGGGAAGGCCTTCCTTAGCTAGGCTTCATCTCAGTGGCCTGTCCCAGGGAGTGAAGCTTTGCTGAGAGAAAAATGAGATCTACTGGAGTTGGGGGCTGGCAGCCATCCCTGAGGACCTGGATGGCTGATCCAGGGTTTTCCTCAAAGGCAATGCTTCCGGGAATTTCAGTGCGGGAGTTTTAGTTGCCGTTTGGCACCACCTGGTGGCAATTCAGTGCATCACCATTCAGAAAAAGGGCCGAGGCGCCCTCAACAGGCACAGCCACAGCGAGGGGGCGGGCCAGGCAGTACCCAGGGCTCTGTCTGATAAAATGTGCCGGCCACAGTGTTTGCCAACACTGCCCTCCAAGGAAGAAGCCCATTCTGCATGTAACCCTGCCGCCTCTTGGAGACACCTGTCAAATTGCTGACCTTGCACTTCCATAAAGACCATGTCGCTGCTCAGAGGTTGTGTTCTCAGAGGTCGGTTTACCTTGATTTGCGGTAAGTGGGGAACAAATCTTAGTTCCTGTGGGAGGGCCTTGCCCTGTTTCTGCTCTTCTATGTTGTCATGCTCAGAGGCCACTGGCCCAGAATCATCTCGGTTTTGTAGAGATGGGGTTTCATTCTGTCACCCAGGCTGGAGTACAGTGACACAGTCACTGCAGCCTCAAACCCCTGGCCTTGAGAGCTCCTCAGTCTCCTGAGTAGCTGGGATTACAGGTGAGCCACGTGTCTGGCCGAATGTCTCTTCACAGTGGTGCTGAGGGCAGCAAGCGAGAGGGCCGGCTGCCTTTCTCCCCACCTGTCTCAAACGCAGGGTCTCCTGTTCGAGGCCTGCAGGGCCAGGTAGAGGTGGTGGCAGGTGGGCTCAAGTCAGCTCTGATGAGCCAGCCCTGGGCTGGGCTGCTGCTTTGAAGGTCAGAAGCAGGCTCACTGGAAATGTCTTAACCAGTTAGGTGCCACTGGCGTAAACCTACCTACCTCTGTGACGCCATCAGCCTGTGCTTAGGATAGTATTTATTTATATTTTGAATAGTGGTGTTAAAGGTGGAAATGACAAATTCCTCCTTCGTTGGAGCCTGAACCCCTTCAGTCCTAAGTGCTCTTCTCTGTAAACAGCATGAGGAAAGTCTAAGCAACGGGCAGAACCATGGTTACACATGACGGACTCGAGTGGAGGACAGCAGCTGGGCCAGCCCTGCCTTCCACCTGTGGGCAGGTGGGGTGTCACATCCTGGTCTAGCCCAGCGAGCTTCCTATGTTTTTGAGTTCCCTTTTCTGTTTATTAAGATGGAGAAATCCTAAAATAATCAGAATAGCACTTGCAAAAAAGTAGTTTCATTCTTAGAGAAAGCTGGGCCTGGCTAATGTAGGAATTGTGGCGATCTGAATGATGTCAGAGACAGGAACTGCATCCCCACTGACCAGCGCCATTTCCAAGCCTGTTTCCTCCTCTGCAGAGCGGTGCTGGGACAGCAGCTGGCTCCTAGGGTCACAGTAAGGATTCACCTGGCGAAGCCGGGGGGTAGGGGGCATTTAGCACCGTGCCTGGTGCAGGCTGATTAGTGCTGCCTTCCCTGTTCCTACTAGGAACTCCCAAGAGTGTCTAGAATGCACCTTACCCGGAATACACCTCCCACAGCTTCTGG
Source organism: Homo sapiens (assembly GCF_000001405.40). Lineage (NCBI taxonomy): Eukaryota > Metazoa > Chordata > Mammalia > Primates > Hominidae > Homo > Homo sapiens. The sequence goes on along the minus strand of NC_000012.12, from coordinate 117,024,293 downwards.
TTCATCCGATAATCCCACACGGACACCAGGCCTTCCTCGCCTCCACTGACGATCTTCCAGTCATCCATCTGCACAGCAGAGACCCTGAGCTGATGGGCGGAGAGCGACAGGGCGATGTTACCACTGCGGAGGTCGTGGATCCTCACCCTGGACAGGCCCAGGAAGAGCAGAGAAGGGAAATGGGGTTAGAGTCAAAGCTTCAAATGACAAACTCCCCCTCCACGGTGCTGGTCTATGCACAACACTGCTATGAAAAACTCCTCAGCTGCAAACAAACATCGATAATAAGGACATCAAGCACAGACTGTCAGGGAGGACCCACACGGTCTCATCTGAATGGTTTAAAAGCACATGGAGCAAGAAAGACGCAGGCCAAGGACAGTGGCTGCCCACTTTACCTGCTTAACAGGGAAAAGCCACCTGCATGACTGCATGCGCAGGTTGGCCTGAGACGCCTGTCCCAGCAGTAGGTGTACTGCCCAGCACAGTAATTTTGCTGTTGGTAAAATAACCTGTTAAAGGCAAGAGCTACAAAGCCAGACACCCCAGATCCTAACCGGGTGAGGACCCGGTTAGGAAAAGAACACTTTTTGGGTATTTCACTTGACTTTGTAAGTTCATTGCTGTCTTGCTGGAACTGAGAAAGGGAAAGCCTTTATCCTTGATAAGCACAGCAGAGCGGGGATAAGGGTGTGTGTACCCTGGGCAGTCACTTATTGAAATAATTACTTGCCTTATAATAATCCCCATTTCTTTAAGAACCTCTTTAAAAACTACTTTTTATGTATGTGGAATTTTTCACGAGGATAAATTAGATAATGGGACAGAAATCTCGTATCCACTACAAACACCACCCTACTTGGTTTCTACAATAAGCCAAAGGCTAAAAGTAAATCAAATTCATTACATTTAATAAATGTAAAGATGAGCTTAAGAGACCCTGTGATGCAAGTCGAAAAGGAAAAGACAGTCCCTGCCCTGAAAAGAAAGACCCCAGCATCTAGCAAGGAACAGGACAAGCACAAGGATGTAAGATTAAAAACGCACGTCTGACCCAAAAGCTGTGGAGCGACAGGATTCTCTGAAACATGTCCCGTGCCCTGACTCTAGTTATGCAAGCATGCGCACACACGTCAATTTTCCAAGTTCTGAGGGAAAATTATTTTGAACCAACAATTCTATACCTAGCTTAGCTACCAAGTGTGAAGGCATAATAAAGAAAGACTTCTTTTTCTTTAACAGAAAAGGACTCAAAGTGAACTACCTGTGGATACTCTCTGAAAGAAAGTGGCATAGCAAAATACCAGAACAAGAAGACAGATGGCTTAAGTGGGACCTGGTGTGTCTGCTGGGTCCATGGAGGCACACAGGACAAACCTTCCTATTAACAAGAAGAGCTGCCCATGGATCACAAAGTAAAAATATATGCTATGCATGAAAAACACATCTGTAAAGGAGGATGAAAAGATGTTGCAATTTTAATGCTAGAAAAGGCAGAGTAGTTCAAGGCAAAAGCATTCACTGAGAGCACTTAAAACAACGAAGGGGCAGTTTACTCAGTGTTCGGTCAGACCTGGAAAAACAAACTCCATGGATCACATTTCTTTTTATAGGTTTTGTTGTTTATTATTTTTTTTAAAGACAGGGCCTCACTCCCATCACCCAGGCTGGAGTGTAGTGGCACCATCATGGCTCACTGCAGCCTCAGCTTCCTGGGCTCAGGTGATCCTCCCACCTCAGCGTCCCGAATAGCTGGGACTACAAGCACGTGCTACCACACCAGGCTAATTTTTTTTTTATTTTCAGTAGAGACGGTTTTGCTGTGTTGCTCAGGCTGGTCTCGAACTCCTGGGCCAAGGGATCTACCCACCTCAGCCTCCTAAAGTGCCGGGATTACAGGCATGTGCCATTGCACCCAGCCTGTTTTTTTTTTTTTTTAATAGTTTCTTTAGTCACTATAATCTATTCAGAAATTATTTCTATTTCTTGAATTTTTAAAATCTCCAAATCTGAAAACTTAGATGAGTAAATGGCTTTCTGGGAAAATAAGAATTATCAAAACGAATCCCCAGGAGACAGAAAATCCAAGTAGATAAAATAACAAATAGCAGCCTGAGGAAGCCAGCAAGGGGCAACAATCCCTGCAAAAAAAGAACAAGTGACTTTGGCCAGACCTGTTAAGGACCAGCTGCCTCCAGGGCTAAGTTAACTGTTCCACAGCCTAGGAAAAGGAGGAAAGCTTCCAAATTCTCCATGAAGCCAGCATTCTATTACCAAAGCCTAACCCTGAGAGCATGATCAAAGAAAACTACATATCCGAGTGAAACATCAGGAACAGACTCCACAGCAAGATGCCACAGACAAGGGGAATCAACGAAAAACCAGGCAGTCACGTCCATGGAAGCCGAAAGCAACGGGATGAAACGTCACAGCCATTCCAGATGTGGTCTTTAGAAACAGTGAGGCACTGGCACCACCATTACTTCACATCGCTTTTTAAAAACCAGACACAATTAGACAAAAGGAAAAAATGAAAGGTTAAAAAAAATCGGAAAGAAGTGGGTAGACTTCTTATCAGTGAGAAGGGACAGTCCCAGAGAATTCAGTAACACAGAGTCAAATATAAATTTATATGCTAAAATCTAGTTTAAAAATAAATAGAATCAAAGAAAATGTCCCATTTGTAACAGCAGTTAGAGGCAAAATACTCTATAATAATTTTCTCAACTTGGAGCTCTATCAATCACATATATTACACAAATTACAGAGAGCGCAAAGAGTTAAACATAAACTATAAAACATATTCAAAGGAGGAAGACCTTTCTAAACATAACAAAATATGGAAGGTGAAAAAAGGGTTTAACTTTTTCCTATTGGGGGGAACAATCAGAAAGTCAGTCCAATGATAAACTGAGGAAAATGTTTGCAACAAAAAGGGCTAATGTCTTATAATAAATGCCTTCAAATTAGTAAAGACTGACAACCCATTATTAAATCGACAGAAAAGATAAGAAAAAGCAATTCACAGAAAAATACTAATGGCTTTTAAACATGTGTAAGATGTTTAAGTTTGCTGGTAATCAGATAAATTACACAGTAAAACTACAATGCAATGCCACTTGTCACCAATCTACCCAGCAAAGGTAAAGTTTGGTAACATGCCCTACGAGGCACTGTGTGGCAGGGAGACATGGACAGGTAGGTACTCCTAGACAGCTGAGGCGAGCAGAAATCCTTCTCTGGGGAGTGACTTGGCAATATCCAACCAAATACCACATGCACCTCACTTCTGAGCCGGCAATTCCACTTCGAGGAGGTAGCTACACAAGAGTCCACATACACGCAAGGCCAGTCACTGCTCTTAGTTGCAAAAGAGGCTTCTGTTTCAGACAACATGTTGACAGTTCCACTGTAAAACGCTTAAAAATGCTGGATAAAATCCTTTTAAGGGCACTGCTGAGCTCACGTAGGAAGTGACTTCCCCAGGACCTGAGCTGAAAACCAGACAGGAGAGGGTGAGCTGCGACTTCAGGGGAGGGGAGGCTGCTGGCAAGCGCCAGGCTCAGCTCCGTGGTTTCATCAAACACACTGAAGGGCCACCCTAGGCAGGGAGCGGAGTATGGAGACTCCTGCTTTCAATACAAAAGCATGAAAGTATAGTCCCTGAAATTAAATTTGGGAGATAGGCTGGAAGCAGATCAGAGAATGCGTGAATCAGAAGAAAAATGTGAAGAAATTACCAAGAATGGAGCACAAAGAGATAAATATGAAAACTGCGAATGGGGGTATAAGAGACATGAGGGACAGAAGGGGTGGTGCACCACACGCCCCAAGTTCCGGAAGGAGAAAAACAGAGTGCGGACAGCTAACAGCTGATGTTTCCCGAACTGATGAAAGACATGCATGCCGACTCAATGCACACGAATCAAACACAAAATACATATCTAAGAGTATAATTTAAAAAATGGGGAAACACAAAGACCAAGAGGTCCTAAAAGCAGCCTGAGAGAAAAAGACATTACCTATTAAGGAAAGATAATTAGACTGACAGGAAAAATCAGACACATTTTAGCTGTCATGAACTGGAATGACGTAGGTGACACGATTAACTAGCTCTTCAACTGAGTGCTAGTTAAAGCAATTATGGTACATCCATACAGTGGGACCCGGGGCAGAACTACACAGGCTGACTGGCAGCCGTGCGCACAGGTGTGTGCTGGGGGACATGCATTTAGGCTGTGCGTGTGTGGGCGGCCCCCAGAGAACGCTCAGCATTTAAGCAGTCGCAATGAGGGAGGCTGACAAGGCTGCTGGGAAGAGGGGTGCGCTTCGCCCTCTAGGCTACTCTGCTTTTGAGGCCCATTTTGAATGTGCGTACTTCCTGTTTAAATAAAACCAAACAATTTTAAAGATCAAATTCTGGAAGCACGTACTTGAAACATTAACAACAATTACCTTGGAGAAGAAAGAGGGCAATAAAGGCGGCTTTTGTGTTTTATTCTGGACGCTGCCATGTTTAAAAAACAAGAATTCATTCATGACCGGGAGGCCTTCAACAGTCACACTCTCTTTCTTGAGCTGAGAGGTGGATGCGCGGGCATTCTCGGTTACTCTTGAAACTGTATGCGCACCTTATATACACTCCCATACATATGTTCGGTTTCATAATTAAAAAATAATACTTTCATCTATTTCTTAGAAAAGGTGAAATAAAACAGGATGGAACAACACGTCGTTTTAGGACACAGAGGAGAGACTGTTTCTTCTTCCTGCTAGGCCATGTAACTGACAAGGCAACCCAAGTGAATAGATATACTCAACGCTGGGAAACAGGTAGCACAGCAAATGGGCACCAGAATATGCCAAGACAACCGATTCCAGGGACAAGTTGAGAGTTCTCTGTATAGAGAACATAAAATTCTATGTGGCCAACATTAACAAGCCCTTCGGACTGGCCACTGAACCTTTCTGGACCAGCATTAGATGGTCTTGAAGAGGTCTGCTAGATCCAAAATTCTGAGATCCATAACAAGTCCATCCAGTGGACACAGATGATAATGTATAGATGATACATAATAGGTCCGTTGCTACAAATGCTGCTCAGTCCCTGACTTGCCAGTGAGGGATCTGGGAGCAGAAAGATGCAGAGAGAGCTTGAAGATGACTTTGTAAACAAAGGTCTCTCTCTGTCACGTTTACAGACACCTATCCTTAGGCATGCGTAGGTAAGAGAAGAGAAAAAGTATAAATGCTGTAAAGAGAACTCTAACCTTAGTCCATAATGGGAACTTGAAAAGGATTGGGGAAAGGGGGAGCGGAAGTGTTTACCAAGTACTTTTCAGTGCATATTTGGTTAATCAGAGTCTATTCAGCTATGGTGATTTCCATAAAGAGCTCCTCTGTTGAATATTTATACTCCATAATTTACAGTTTGGCTGTTAAGGAGACAAAGGCAAACACAAATTTGGTCCAGAAGTTCAAAGTTTGCCATCTGTTTTCCTATTGTATTTAGATACCAGCATGGATGGCTCCAAACAAAATAAACAAATAAACCAAAAGATGCGGCCTCAGTGTATTTTATATCACTAAGGAAAAAAAAATAGGCCAAACCAGCCTTGAATTTCTCCCCCCTGGGAAAAAGGAAAAACATTTTTCTGACATCTCCTTAGAGAAGCACCACTCTGGCTTCTCGTCGACAGAAACAGCAGACAGCACAGTGTGCTAAGTCCACCCAAGCCATTCAGATTCACATGAAGAAACAGGTATCTGCCTCGGACATCTGACAGCGCGCAGCACAGGCCCGAATGCCGTGCGCCTTGGCAAAGCCCGTCGTCAGCTCAGCACTCAAACCAAATACTCGACGCTGGGAAACAGGTAGCACAGCAAATGGGCACCAGAATATGCCAAGACAACCGATTCCAGGGACAAAGAGGAGCCAATGGTAGATATTGTGAATCCCCATCTAGCGAGTATTTCATCAACTTTGCCCATTGAAAGGAAAAATAATTGGTCTGAAAGCTGTAATTGTATTATGTTTAATATTCATGGTTGGGCTTGGAGGACAGTTCCAACACTCCCTCTCTCCAGCCCCTCTCTAATGAAAATCACACCATAGGAGTCGGCGGTAGCCCACCAATTAAAACAAAAGACACCAGAACCTTCCAAAGACTCCAACAGAGGAGCATCCATCTGATGGGCAGGAAAACGTGCTGGAACCGAGAGGGAGGCACGCTCTGGTTGGTCCTGTGTTAAGAGCTCTGAATAACTTATTATAACACTTGCAGATGGAGCAAATGCAACATTTACGCCCCAATCACTCTCTCTCTAACAGCAGGCAGCAGTAGCACGAGCACAGCACACAACTTTATATTTGTCAGGGCAAGAAGCAAGCACTGAGACTCTGTAATTGGGGGGTCACAACTCAGGGCGTGCTTCCTATTGGCTTGGATTAAATACTCCCATATGATAATGAGGAACACCGTAGCTGATGGCAAGCTGAAGCCTATTCAGTGTCTGGCTCGGCAGTTTCATTAAGGAGGACCTGACCTTCTGCTAATATTTCTACCCAGAAAACAAAGAGAACAAGCAATAAGGTATTACAATGTAGGCTTTTTTTATGACCAAATTAATTTTAAAAATAGTATTTTTTTAAAGAAATCAATACATGATTCTGTTTGCTCTCACTGAACCTGGGCTATTAAATATTAAAGAGGATTTTAAATATAACCTTATATGCCAAAATCAATAGCTTTATCTACAAAGCACTGACAATGGCCTTTGGTGAAAGATTCATTTTAAACGGCAACTAGAAAAAAGTGTATTTTCAGGTAGAACTGCCAGTTTAATGCAGCTAGCCTAAGCTTAGTGCTCTCTGTATTTTAAGGCTGTATCTCTGAAGTTTAGAGTTCTCTGTATAGAGAACATAAAATTCTATGTGGCCAAGATTAACAAGCCCTTCGGACTGACTGGTCACTGAACCTTTCTGGACCGGCATTAGATGGTCTTGAAGAGGTCTACTAGACCCAAAATTCTGAGATCCATAACAAGTCCATTCAGTGGACAAAGATGATAATGTATATAATGCCAAGAAAAGGGCACATGGTCCCAAGTTGGAAATACTAAAACATTTAGTTATTAACTAAGTCATGAGTATTTCCTACATCCATACTGTTACTTTCATATACAGTGACACTATTCAACATGCCTGACATTTGGAAGTTTACTGTTACATTACTTATTTTAGAAAGGGTGAGGTATTGTAATCAAAAAGCTGTACAGCGTGGTAGTGCCAGAACACAGACATACAGATCAACAGAACAGAACTGAGAGTCCGGAATAACCCCTCAAAGTTACAGTCCATTGATTTTCAACAGTGGTGCCAAGACAATTGAATGGGGGAGAGAATTGTCTTTTCAACAGATGGTGCCAGGATAGCTGGATATCCACATGGAAAAGAATGAAGTTTAGGTCTCTACCTCACACCATATACAAAAATTAACTCCAAATGGATCACAGACCTCAGTGTAAGAGCCAAAACTATAAAACCCTTTGAAGAAAACTTAGGAGTTAATCTTTGTGAGCCTGGGTTAGGAAATGGTTTCTTAGCTATGACATCCATAGCACAAATGACAAAAGGAAAAAAAAAAAAAAACCAGACAAATAGAACTTCATCAAAATTGAAAACTTGTGTGCTTCAAAGAATACAATGTAGAAAGCGAAAAGACAACCCACAGAATGGGAGAAAATATTTTGCAAATCACATATCTGATGAGAGATTTGTACCTGGGCTATATTAAAAAAATACTCTAATAACTCAATAATATAAAGACAGCCCAATTAAAAAATGGGCTGAGGATTTGGATAGACATCTCTCCAGAGAAGATATACAAACAGGCAATAAGCACGTGAAAGGATGTTAATCACCACTGGCTGTCAGAGAAATGCAAATCTAGAATTCGAGACTGTAGCAAGTGTTGGTGAGGAGGTGGAGAAACTACAACCCTCATCCAGTGCTGGTGGGAATGTAAAATGGTACAGCCACTATAGAAGAGTCTGGCAATTCCTCACATGGTTTAACACAGAATTACCACATAAGCCAGCAATTCCACTCCCAGTGTATTTCCCCAACTGAACTGAAAATATGCATACAAACTTACACATAAATGATAACAGTAGCATTATAATAGTCAAAAGGTGGAAGCAACCCAAATGTCCACTAATTGATATAAAGAAAATGTAGTATATCTGTACAAGGGAATATTACTTGGCCAGAAAAAGGAATGACATACTGATACATGCTACAACTTGGGTTTATCTTAAAAACATGCTAAGTGGAATAAGCCAGTCATAAAAGGTCATAGATTACATCATTTCATTTATAGGAGATGTTCAGGCAAATCCAGAGAAAGAAAGTAGATGAGTGGTTGCTTAAAGCTGGAGGGGATGAGGGAACTGGGGAGTGACTGCTAATGGATTTGGGGTTTCTATTTGGGGTGAAAATGTTCTAAAATGGACTGTAGTGATAACTGCACAACCTTGTGGACCTACTTAAAACACTGAATTGTACAATTTAAATTGGTGAATTATGTGGCATGTAAATTAAATCTCAGTACAGCTGCTAAACTTGAGACCATGGGGGAAAACACTGGAATTTGCTGGCTCAGTGACTTAGCAACCCAGTTACAGCCTGACATTTGCCCTTAGCACCAACTCTTGGTTCTCCATAGCACAGCACGGATAAGCTTCTCCCTGCGAGATCCCCAGTTGCACGGTGAAAATGAGCAGATCACAGATGAGAAGCCTGAGAGCTACAGAATAGGAAGGGCCCTCATTTAATACAGCCCTTGACTGCCAACTACTGTGCTGACTTAATTCACTGAAAAGAAAGGAGGACGTTCTGATTCTGGCCAGAACGGAGTAAGCCCACTGCTGCCTCTCTCCTGCCGACTGCCAGCAAAACCTATGGACAAAACACAAAAACAAACACCTGAGGACTCTGGGGAGTCAACCCAAGCTGATGGATTGCAGAGGAGAGTCAAACCCATGGAAGTGGCTGTACAGGGGAAGAGTTTCCCATGTTTTTCCCTTTTTCCTCTTGCAGCCTTGCCCTGAGTATGGGCTCCAACATGCAGAACTGTGTGGTGGTGCAAGAAGCTAGAACTCCAATAGAAACTCCATCTTTCTGACTAGAGGAACAAAAGGGGGCCCCTGCCGTCCTCAAAGAATAGGGGTGAGGGTTATTGTAGGTTTTTTTCTCTTTCTTGTGGCTGTGCCCCAAGGACAGTCCCCAGTCACATGCTGCATGGTGGCGGCGATGCCGGCAGGTAGAACTCTGATAGAAACCCCATCTTTCTGACCAGAGAACTGTAAGGGATAGGAGTCCCTGAAGGCTGGAAAGTGTAAGGATTGAGAGAGGAGGAATCTCAAGAAAGGGATCCCATAATACTGTGTCTAAACCCACATAAATCCCAGGCTCATCCCTGGGCTATGTGGGACAGATTCAAAGCAGGACGGCAACGGCTTTAAGAGCTCAACTAAGACTGAACCACTGCCAACCCATGTGGCACATGCGCAGACCAAAAACAGCATAGAAATTGAACAGCTTTGGAAAGCAAACTGACATTGGAGTCACCACCCACAAAGGGTAAACAGAACTTGCCGTCTGAACCTAACCAGGGTGACTGCCTGTTCAAAAGCAAAACAAAACAAAAATCATTCGTTGGAGGATTACATAACAGGATCCAGAGTGTATAAAACACAACATCCACAATGTCCAGAACACAATTCAAAATTACTTGACATACCCCAAACCAAAAGCCAAACGGGAAAATGTGACCCTTTCTTAAGGGAAAAGACAATTAACAGATGTCAACCCTAAGATAAGCTAGTTTGGGAACCCTCAACGACTTTAAAGAACTTGTTGTAGCTATATTCCACGAGGTAAAGGTAAAATGCATGGGAATACTGACAGTGACAACCTCAGCAGAGACACAGAAACTATATATAAAAAAAGAAACAAATGGAAATTTTTAACCAAGAAAATATGAAATCTGAAATAAAAGATTCACTGGATAGGCTCAACAGCAGAATGGAGATGACACAGGAAAGAGTCCATAAACCTGAAGTCAGAGCAACGGAGATGATGCAGCCTGAAGAACAGAAAGAAAGGTTTGGGAAAGAACATGAACAGAGCTTTGGTGGCCTGTTGGAAAATTTCACAAGGTTTAATATTTACATTATTGAGGTTACTGGAAGGAGAGGAGAAAGGGAATATTCAGAAAAACTATTTGAGGAAATAATGGCAGGAAACTCCAAATTTAGTGAAAGACATAAATATACAGATTCTAAACGCTTAATAAACCCCAGACAGGGTTTAAACCAAAAAAAAAAAACAAGTGATTACTTCCTGCAGACTTTTCCTTAGTGACTCATTCAAGCTTCTCATAAATGCCCCAATTCCTAAGCTATTAATTCATTGTTGCCTTCAGTGAATATATACTTTCATTTCATTGAAAACACCACTGATGATAATAAAAAATAAATAAATAAATAAATAAAAAGAAAACACCACTGATTCCAAGAAGCATCATTACTTTGTGTAACTTTTAAAAATGCTGCCATTTTATGATGCTATTGTAAAAGTCCATTCTGATTTCATAGATGTGAAAAATTTTTTTTTAATATACATCTTAGAATAAATAGAAAATATACTGTGCTAGGCACCCGCCGAGTACCAGAGAGAGTGTGGTGAGTGGAATGGACATGAGCAGCCAGCCCTAATGCCGACGTGCATCACTCCCCGTACCATTACTCATTGCTCTTTCTTCTTAGTCTTAGCGAGAAGAGACAAAATATGCCTTCAGAAAAACTCATTGATCTACACTGATAAAACTCCTATGCAAAATCTCACTTTTCTCTCCGCTCCCATCTTTACAAGCCTTCCCTCCCAGCGAGGGAAAAGCATACTCTAACATTAACTCAGTTTCCACCCCAATCTTTCTCTTGCTCTTCATCAGACTCTGTTTATTTTTTAGTTTTTCTTTATTTTTTGAGATGATGGAGTCTCGCTCTGTCACCCAGGCTGGAGTGCAGTGGTGTGATCTCAGCTCACTGCAACCTCCGCCTCCTGGGTTCAAGCGATTCTCCTGCCTCAGCCTCCGAGTAGCTGGGATTACAGGCATGCGTCACCATGCGTGGCTAATTTTTGTATTTTAGTAGAGACGGGGTTTCACCATCTGGCCAGGCTGACCTTGAACTCCTGACCTCAAGCGTCTGGTTTTTCTTGAGTGATAGGATAGATCCTTTTTCATTTTTACTTTAAGCTCACTGTCCCCCCACACCCCCAAAATAAAACTCCTTATAAAATTCCACCCATGTTTGCAAACTACTTAAAACTGATTCCCTACTTTAATGAAAACATTTTTGTCTTAATCTGGGGCAGTTTTATGTACCTTTAGAGTTCATCTCATTCCCAAGTTATTTATAAAGCACTAAGAGAATGCAGTGGGAATTAAGTTTTTAAAATAGGAAGGTTCTAGGGTTTGTAAAAAATTGCATCAGTCAGTAAGTGACAGCCAAGGACATAGTTCTCCTCATAATATTTGACCCCTTTCTCCCACTTTTGACATAAAACATAAGCTATACAAGCCTGGGCCAGCATCTCTAATGAGATCTTACTCATAGCTATTAAACCTCCGGGGAAAAAATGTAAGACTTCCCTCTACCACACTTAGTCTAGCTTCCTCATTCCTTTTTTCTAGATGTGCAATTTTTATTAAAACAACAGATTTTAAACCCCTATATTCTAAGCTGCTGACCGAGCAACCCTGACTCAGGGAGTATTCTTACATATGATGGCTGGCCCCTAATGTACCAGCAGTGGGCACACAGCTGGCACTACTCTAGGACTCACACTGGTTAAATGCCAATTTGGATGCCCCACCTCCAACTCTAAGTCACTAGTCTGTTCTTTTCATCCACAGAGACAGAGCGTTTTAAAAAAAAATGTAACATTGGCTTACTAATAAAATGGACTTAACATAGTCAGATTTGGACTGCAAACTGACCAGAGAGCCCTTTGACACTATGCATGGAACACCTCCCTGGCAGTGCGTACATAATGAGGCAGCTTGCTCCAGAGGAAAAGTCAGCTTTACTGAGTGTATACAGTCAGCCCTCAGTATCCACAGGGGATTGGTTCCAAGACCCCCTGCAATTCCAAAATCTACAGATGCTCAAGTCTCCCTTTACATATAAAATGGTGTGGTATTTGCATATAACCTACACACATCCTCCATTAAAAACCATCTCTAGATTACTTATAAGAGCGAATACAATGCCTACACATCGCTTCATTATGATTCAACATAGTACTTGGCTTGCTGCAAATTCAAGTTTTGCTTTTTGGAACTTTGTAGAATTTTTTTCTTAATATTTTTGAAATTATGCAGAAAACAGAGGTTTCTTCTCCACAACACCCTTCTGGTTTCCGGTGAGCCTAACTGTGGCTGAAGATATAAATGTTCACACTGCAAGCAAACTCTGAGCACCATCCACCATCCCAAAGAGCTCTCCACATCGCCTCTCCTCAAAACCAAGCAGCTGCCAGGTCCCTGTGTGGAGATCCTAGGAGAGGAGCTTGGAGCCTCTGTATAGCTCAACCTGAAAACTAAAATGCGGGATTAAAACTACAAACTGACTTGATTCTTTTGCCGTGCCACATGTGGGGCCACTTATCAAGCCTAGTTTCTAAAGAGAACTAGCCCAGTGCGTGCCCCACACACACACTGAGGAGTTCAGTTCTCAAGCACCGGAACATCAGCCATTTTAGGAGGCCTTATTTTTCTTCCCAATAAAGCATACTCACATCATTTCCTTGCTCTAAGTTGGGGGTGGGTATCTAGGGGTGAAGGTTGGGAGGTGAAAATATTATTTGACAGAATAACTATTTTTGCAAGCTGCTGCACTGGCGGGACAGAGGCCTGGGATCTGGCACAGAGGAGTACCCGCCTCACGATCTGACACCCGCCTCCGAGCAGCCCGCCACCTGCAGCCCGGGGCCGGGCCCAGGGGAGGGGGCGCCAGCAGCCCCTGGCCCTCAGCCATGCTACCTCTCTTCAGGGCACTGGATCAGACACAGCAGATAACTGGCCAAAAAAAAAAAAAAAGGAAAAGAAAAAAACAAGGAAAGAAGAGGCGGGGAGAAACCTAAAATTTGGACTCAAAGGGTCTTTTCAAACACTTTAATCCTTTTGTGCTGATGGTTCCTGGGGCGCCCGGGGCTGGCACAGGCCCCTATACCGGGAAAATCCGACTCCCTAAGCCAGTGCATTAAAGAGAAGGCTGCTAATCAGCTAAATAGAAAGTGGAATCTGTTCACATGAAGTCTCTCTTTCCTTCCATCACCAGAGGGACACCACCGTGTTCTGAAATACACTCTTGACATCGTTTGGCAGGAAACCCTATTTTGCTGAACATGATTCATCCCTTAGGTTACTGTTTTTAATATTAGAAAGTGAGCTTTCAAGTGCCAAACAAATTTTGCAGCAGGGGACAAAAGATATTCCAAGTGGTCTCCCTGGACCTTCTACCAACTGCGGCCACCAAATGGCTTAAAAGAAAACCTTCCCGTGGTGCTTCAGAAATGAAGCAGAGACATAGCTACATCCAACTATTACCTAATACAGGACTTTGTTCTCTGAGTCTAGAGTGTTTATGGGATCGGGGCTGAACTCAGGTGGGCAGAGCTGTTGAGTGAGAACCGGGCAGTGTGAGCAGCGCAGTGGGGGCCGGGCCTTGGCAGAAGCCATGGGGCTGCAAGGCAATGCCCTTCCAACTCACGTACCTCCCGTCCATGTTGCCACTGACCATGAGGTTGGGAGGGCTGTCGCTGAGGTTGACACACGTGAAGTCACGGAGAACGTTACCCAGCTTCAAGAGGCGGCGTCCTGCTTCCAGGCTATACACCAGGATCTGAGAGAGGAAGAGAAATGTGTGGGCCCACAATTCCACACACCAGGCCGACATCAAATACTTTCATTTCACCATCGTGGAGGGCATGATCCTTATCACTGAGCTCCCGTGAAGATGTTCTGCCACTTAATTTCCTGATCTTTTTCAGGTTACTGATAGTATAGGGACATGGCTATTAAGAGTGCCAAAAAGAAATGCAAAGGAAGAGAGAAGGAAATCCAGCGAATTCCTCAAGCCAAGGTGCACACTCAGGCCACAAGGAAAACGCAGGGAAATCAGGTATTCTAATTTCTTAACAAAGAGAAAGCCGTCTGGAAACCACGGGGCCACTGACTGCTTCTGATTTGGAATGAATGGGAAAGCTCGCAAAGCATCAGGAAGCTTGCAGATGAGCCAGCATGAGTTCTCATCTGAATTTACGTCACAGGCGGGAAAAGAAAGAATAGTACAAGGACCAGGAAGATGAAGCTTGCATAGCCACTGGATGCTTCCTTCGGACTGAACTATAAACCAAAACACAAACTCACTCCCAAACACTTTTCTCTTCACTCTCTGCTTGCTAATGTTAGGATGCTGTGTTCCATAGGGTATGAAAGTAAATAAGAAGGTACCCCTGATTTCCAGACAATGCACTGTTATATTAGAACACCTCTGTGTCTTCTCTCCAGCAGGGGGAAATTTACGTTTTTTGCTTAAAAAGTATTAATTCAATTCAACTTAATTCAAAGAACATTAAATGCTTCCTATGTGTCAGTCACTGTCGTAGGTGCTGAGGACAGAGTCCTTGCCTCAAATTCACATTCAGAAGGCTCCTCATTAACACACACACAAACACACCAAGTTCTGAGCATACTTTCTATCCTGGAGATCATGTGGTTGACATTTTTAAATTAATGAACTCAGAAGTTTTTGGTTTTTTTGAGGGGGTGGGGGAACAGGGTCTTGCTCTGTCACCCAGGCTGGAGTGCAGTGGCAACATTATAGCTCACTGTAGCCTCAAACTCCTGGGCTCAGCCAATTCTCCCACTCAGCCTCCCGAGTAGCTGGGGCCATGTGTGTGTAACACCACGGCCTGCTGATGATATCTTTCTTTCTTTTTTAAAAAATTTTTTAAGTAGAGAAGCGGTCTCACTATGTTGCCCAGCCGGGTCTCAAACTTTTGAGCTCAAGTGATCCCCCTGCCTTGGCCTCCCAAAGTGCTGGGATTACAGGCCTGAGCCACTGCACCCAGCCAAAGGTTTTTGTTTTTGTTTTTGAGACTGAGTCTCACTCTATCGCCCAGGCTGGAGTGCAGTGGCCGCGATCTTGGCTCACTGCAAGCTCCGCCTCCCGGGTTCAAGCGATTCTCCTGCCTCAGCCTCCTGAGTAGGTGGGACTACAGGCGCCCGCCACCACACCTGGCTAATTTTGGCCAGGCTGGTCTCGATCTCCTGACCTCAAGTGATCCTCCCACCTCAGCCTCCCAAAATGCTGAGATTACAGGCATGAGCCAGCACGCCTGGCCTCAGCCAAAGGTTTTAATAGTAGTATTTTGTAGAAAGATTTCTCCTCTCAGCACACACATGAGAGTGATGTGCGTTTCTTCTTGTCAGCCTATACATTTATCACTTACCACGATACAGATTTTTACTTTAGTATTGAGAAGTTAATAATAAATTAAATATTCTCTACCTTGAAAATAATCAATCCTGTCAACATACATTTCTAACAAGTGAATCTTTCTTTGGAAGTTTCTAATGGTCAAAACAACACTATAATATTAACTATTGCTAACAGCATCTGGAAGGAAGAAGGACAATTTCAAAATTTAAAATGCCCTCTTAATCCATAAAGACTACAGAGAACAATTGCAGTTGAAAAGAAAAATTTCTGACGCAGAACATTTCAACAATTTTAAAATATCAAGAGTAAATTTATTCTTCCAAGTAAGTATATAGAAATAACCAAATCTCTTATCATCAGAGAATAACCTAAAAATTATATAAAATCGGCACCTGGAGGGAGAAAATAAAAAGAGCAACCTCACGTTCTATTATAAAAGTAGTATTCTGCATCCACTTTCAAGTGTTCTCTTGTTTTTAAAATACTCCAACTTCTGCAGCAGGAAGGTAAGGCCTTTAAGTCGGTAGAATGTTGATGGTAAATCTAAGAACTGAAATCTGATACTGAGTAGGTCCATGTGTCTTTATGTCTTCCAGTTGTTCTTTTTTGACAAGTGGATAAATTATTTCTTAGTGATATAGTGAGATGTAATCCCTTTCCAAAAAGACTCTCTGCAAATTCATCATAAAGACATCTAAGTTAGTAGTCCAGAGTCCAGTATTTTCTAAAATGTTTAATAATTCAAACGAATCCGAACTATCTGAAGAGTACCTTTACCATGACGTTTAGTTAAAGACCACAGAGATTAGAAAACACATTACCCATCTCAAAGGCAGTTCTTTCCACGTTACGAGTCCCTTAACGACCTTTACCATTTCTCCCTCCCTCCCACGCACTCTCTCTCTTTTAATAAGGTTGAGCAAATGGGACTTCATTTTATCTGATTGCCATAGACTAGTGAGATTAATTATTCATGCTCACACTCTCCCTCTTGTTAAGACCATGCATTAGACTAATTTTTCTCTTTATTGCCCTAGTTGGGTGAGTCTCAACCCATGACCACTTGACTCATTCTCAGAGGTGTACAGATATGCTGGAAAAACCTACCCCAGCACAAATCCCGGAGAAAATATTCTGCACTAATGCAGCTGCCAAAGATGATGTTGAGGATGGTTCCTTTTAAGTACCAGGTATATATTAGAGAAGCACTTGAACAGTAATTACAGAGCAAATTTTTGCAGGCAATAGATGTTTCTGTAAGAATTAGCTAAAACAGCTAAACCATGTTGAGGCTGGTTGTGTGTTTTACAATGGTAACTATAGGAAATGCATGACACAGAGAAGAATTTTTCCTCCTCTTTGGCTTGCAGGTAGACCTAGAAGGCAATGGGGGAAAAGCAAGCACTATCTTTAAAAAGAACTCTAGCAGAAAGTTCTCTATTCATCTGTTTTTTTTTTTCTTAGAGATCTTAAAGTATTTCCATAAATCCTGGTCTTAGAATCTTAACTTGCAATTTTGTCAATGATTCTGATGTATCTGAAATCTATTTCTAAAAATCTTTTTCTGATTTCAAATATGATACATCTTACAACAAATTCTAACATAATAGAATTCTATAAAGGAAGTGGTAGCCCTCTGTATATTCATCTCTCACAAATCACCACTTTTAACAGTTTGATATATATACTTTGACTTTTCTTCTGCACATCTGCCTCTGTGTGTATACACATTTTTTTCCTAAATGGGATTATTTCACAACTCCTTTTCCCTACGTGTCAATACCTATAGATAGATCTTGTTCTTTTTAATGGTTGTGTAGAATTTCTCTGTGGATACACAACTCCATATGGATTGTTTATAATTTTTAGATAAAATAAATAATGCTGTGATTCATTCAAGAGCTGGCCAACAGATATTTATCAATCATCTTCTAGGCACTGGAATGAACGTGCAGGGACGCTGGGTGACATGCAGAAGTCCCAGCCTGCTGCCAGCTGACAGAGCCCACCTCTTCCCCAGCTGGGGCCTGACCGTCAGCTGTCCTGCTCCTCCATAGACGGGGCCTGCCTCTCTGAGGAGACCCACCGATCATCTTCTAGCCATGTCCTGGCAGCTGGTGTCCTAAGCAGCAGGGGCGGTGGTCCAGAGTCAGGAAGGAGACACCAGCTACAGGCCCAACAACTGGGAGGCATCAGCCACCGCCGTGGGCAGGCGGGCCCCGCAGCATCCAGGTGTGGCCTGGACTGGCTTTCCAGGCAAACTGTGAAGGAAAGAGCTGAGAGATGGCTCTTGTCCCTGTGGGGGTGGGAGGCGGGGTGAGCTCAAGGCAGACCAACTTCTTCCTTCACCCAGTAAGAAATGGATTAACACTGCAAGCTCTTCCTAAATTGGGGGCTATCACCCTCATAATTAATCATGAACCACTTGCATACTGAAATCACTGTGAAGAGATGATAGAGCCTTACCCTCTCAGAATTTTGGTCCTATACTGATGAATGAGGAAAGGAACTCTGTGTTTTAATTTTACCAAAATACTGAGTCTTCATACTCAAATACCTGCTACAGGCATTAAACCACCACCAGGCATTAAGCCACCCCAGCAGCTGGCTCAGCTCCCCAGAAGCCCAGCACTGTCTGTCCAGAGAGCCCAGGAGGAGTCGGAAGGCTTCCTTACAAGACAATAGCATTTTAAAAGCTTTTTCAATTGAAGATGATTTGTTGGCCGCCATTTAAAAAAGGGCAGTGGCAAAGAGAGCCAAAGGTTAGGAGGTGCTGTGCTGGGCTGAGTGGAGTATAAGAGAAGAGGCACGAGAGGAAGATGTGACTACACTTCCTGAAGATGATACCATCTACCCACTTTCTTTTCTGATCCCTAGTAACCTGCCTCACATATGTGGCTCTTGGCTCTTCTGAACAGGGAAGTTGTGATCAGAGGCCAGATGCTGGGCAGTGAGGCAGTTAAACCGCCTGCTCTCTTCTTTTCCGTCCACTCCAGCTGCCTTTGTGCTCTCTTCTCCATGATGTCCTTGGCACATAGTGCCCATTCCCCTGGTCAGTGCTGACAGTCCTTGCTGTCTGCACGCATCACGTGGTGTTTCGACAAGGTCACCCTGACCTGTGTCTTATCTTCTTCCGGC